>NC_000007.14:147640197-147791713 GCF_000001405.40 Homo sapiens | reverse complement strand
GTTTTCCTGCTAGCTGAGGGCACATTTATGTCTGGGGCAGAGGATGCATGAGTATGCTGAAGACATCAGAGTACAGTGCAAACTGTGTTGCATTGTCCTGGGTTACTATCCTTGTCCCTTCCTTATACTCTCCTAGTGCAAATAGCTGGTTTTTATCTTCATAACCGAATTAGTTCCCTTATTCAGTGATGAGTAAATACCAAAAAGAAAGCATGAGACCTATGCAAAGATACTACCTAAATGAAAAAAAAAAAAAAAAAGAGAGAGAGAGACAGCAAACAGAAGGCCAGAGAAAGACTATATATATCAAACAAGAGGTATGACAAATCAGATAAAATGTATGACTATATGTCATGTAAGTAACAGGAGCCCAAAGAAGGTCTAGAAGCTCCCAGGTAAGATATTATAGGACAATGGAGGTAGTTGAAAAGTGAACTGATAGATTTTGGAAAGAAATGGAAGGGAAAAAATCAACACAGAAATGAAAATCAGCAAGAGGAGAAACTGGCTTTACTGAAAATGTCATCAGAGGCATCTAGGACAAATGAGAAAAAAATGAACAAAATAAAATGGAAAAGGACAAAAAGTTGATTAATATTAGTAAAGAGACAAAAATAATGAAAGACAAAACGTGCAACTAGAAATAACAGATGACATTTTAAAAATAATAATGTAATAGAAAAGTAACTTTACAAGAGAGAACTGAATTTGCTGAAAGTAGAAACTTCCAAGGAATACTTGTAGGCTTTGGTAAAAATGAGAATATTACAGGAAATTTATCGAAAAAGAAGAGCAAATATTTCTGTGGGTATCCAGAGATCAGTCCTAGGAGATGTGGAACGTCTGCAAAATGCTCAGAGGTGGAAGTTATGATCCAATAATGACCATGCCCATAAAAACTGCCACATAGGTGGAGGGTTTATATTACCCAACAAACAAGTGTTCTCGGACTTTAACTCTCACGAGCATTTCTTTAAAAAGTTATTAAATAGTAAACTACAGTCAACCATGAGATGGATAAGGAAGACACAGTAGAGAAATGATGGCGAATATTGAATCCATGCAAACATAGAATAGCATCTAAACAACTGTGAAATTCAAGTTATAAAATGGGATAAAAGTAACATTAATTATAACAACATGGAAATAATATGATTAGCAGAGTTTTGGGGATAGAGTAGCGTAGAGAACGTAGGGTTATTACAATAAATCAGGTTTCCTTTTAGCAGGGAGGTGAGCCAATTGATAATCTCCAGAGGTTAAAAATCAAATTATAGGAAGAAGTGTATCACTATTCTTCATTCGACAAATACTTACTGAACTCTGTTCCTCTATGCAGGCATTAAGGAGACAGTAGTAAGCAAAGCCAAGCTCCTCCTGCCCACATTTTGGAAAGAAAGACAGAAAATAAATAGGGAAATGAATCAATACTTTCGGATAGTGATATATATGTTGAAGAAAGTGAGCAGGGCTGGAGGGGTGCTGGGGTGGGTGGTGGACTTTCTGACACAGGACAGTTGAGGAAGGCTCTTCCTAGTAGGTGACATTTAAGCGGGAAGCTGAATGATAAACAGACATGACAACTAAAGATTTGGGGAAAGAACCTTCTAGGCAGAAATAAGGGTATAGTAGGTCAGGGTTCTCTAGAGGGACAGAACTAATAGGATATATGTATATATGAAAAAGAGTTTATTAAGGAGTATTGACTCACACAATCACAAGGTGAAGTCCCACAATAGGCTTTCTGCAAGCTGAGGAGCAAGGAAGCCAATAGTGGCTCAGTCCCAGTCCCAGACTTCAAAAGTAGGAAAGCCGACAGAACAGCCTTCGGTTTGTGGCTAAAGGCCCGAGAGCCTGGCAAACTGCTGATGTAAGTCCAAGAGTGCAAAAGCTGAAGAACTTGGAATCTGATGTTCAAGGGCAGGAAGCATCCAGCATGGGAGAAAGATGAAGACCAGAAGACTCAGCAAGTCAACACCTTCCACCTCCTTCCGCCTGCTTTTTCTTGCCCTGCTAGCAGCCAATAGATGGTGCCCACACACTGGGAGACTTTCGCTCCCAGTCCACTGACTCAAATGTTAATC
Source organism: Homo sapiens (assembly GCF_000001405.40). Taxonomy (NCBI): domain Eukaryota; kingdom Metazoa; phylum Chordata; class Mammalia; order Primates; family Hominidae; genus Homo; species Homo sapiens. The sequence continues at coordinate 147,789,629 of NC_000007.14, read as the reverse complement.
TCTTCTAGAAACACCCAGAAGCAATACTTTGCATACTTCAATCCAATCAAGTTGACACTCAATATTAACCATCACAAGGGGCAAAGGTAAGAGCTTGGAAGCTGTCAGTACATTCACCTGTGTGGCTGGATGTCTGGGCAAAGCAGAGGAGTCATGGGTAAGACTGGGGAGGAGTCACAGTTTCATCCTAAGAGTGATAAGAAGATGCCAGAGAATTGTGAGCAGTGGGGAGACTGGATTTGTATTTTAGAAAATAAAATATTCTGCCATGTAGTAAATAGAACGACCAGCCAAGAAGTGACTGCAGTGGAGGAAGTGAAAGGTTGTTTGTGGTTTGGATAGTGGTGAGAAGTTAGATATAGGGTAGGTCTTAAAGTTGGCAACGATAGGACTTCGTTTCTAATGTTAAAGTGTACTCTATTGGGCCGGGCGTGGTGGCTCACGCCTGTAATCCCAGCACTTTGGGAGGCCGAGGCGGGCAGATCACTTGAGGTCAGGAGTTTGAGACCAGCCTGGCCAACATGGTGAAACCCCTTCCCTACTAAAAATATAAAAAAATTAGCCAGGCATGGTGATGCATGCCTGTAATCCCAGCTACTTGGGAGGCTGAGGCAGGAGAATTTCTTGAGCCCAGGAGGCAGAGGTTGCAGTGAGCCAAGATCACACCACTTTACTCCAGCCTGGCTGACAGAGCAAGACACTGTCTCAAAAAAAAAAAAAAAAAAAAAAGAAAAAGAAAAAAAAAGTATATCCTACTGGATGATTCATGAGGGTCTCCATGAGGTGTGGGAGTAAGAGAACGGAAAGAGGTTCCTGGGATTTTTGGGATTTTTTGCATCAGCAACTGGCTGCGTCACCGCTGCATCCACCAAGATGATGAGGGGGGTTGGAGGCAGGTCAGGCCATGCCAGTATCGAGATGCTGATGAGGTTTCTGAAGGGAGCTATTAAATAGCAAGTTGAAAATACAAGTCTTCAGCTCAGGAAAGAGGATGGTGTGAGAGATAAATTTTGATGTCATTTGCATATAGAAGGTATGTAAGGCCTAGGGAATGAAGATAAGGACCTACAGTGCCATTAACAGTGAAGATATTCTGGCATGACTTTGAGCAACAAAGAGCATAAACATCACTGAAGTATGGTCTCTGTGTGGGACTCTGGTTGAGCATCTTGATTTCTCTAAGTATTTGTTAGCTTATCTGGAAAATAAGTGGTAAGAACAAACATTCAAGCATTCAAGCCACACCCCACTATGCCTGAAAAGGTCATATTGCAATTGTCTAATTTCTCAGAAGGTAAAGTTATACATTCTGCTTCTTACAAAAGTTACCTCTTTAAGGTCTTCAGAGGAGTGCAAAATTTGACTAGGACAGTTTAGGATTCATCAAATTGACAACTTGAGAGCAATCTATACTCCAGTAGATGTTTAAAACTCTACATTTAGTTGTGAGTCTCTTAAATATGCAGCAAATAATTTAAGTGATCCAAGATTCTGCACAAATAACAAGAGTTAATAACCTCTGTTGCATTTCTAGTGGCAAAGGATTAAGAAAATGAAATGCATCCTGTCCAGAATAATACTATCCCAAAGAATACAAAATCAGTCCACCTTATAAACTCAGTCCTTCAAGAATACAAAGAGAATGTACTTCCACAATCCACAAGTTGAGAAAAGTAACTCTGCTTTTCAACCCATCTTTAGTCACTTATTTTTGTGGGAGGAGTACAAAATCTTATACATTTTGCTTAAGCAACTTATACTTTTCCATATTCATTACAGCATATGCATTAAGTGTTGTTTTAAAATGAGTCCAGTCTAATTTCCATAATAAAAAAGTGATTACTAGCTCTCATTATTGCCTAATGTGGCTGCCTAATTAATTATTATAAAATGAAAAAAGTCTTACTAATGAGATGTTACTAACTAGCTTTCTCAGCACTGATTTTCTTTGCTTGTTAAAAGTCTGCTATTTTACAAACCTGTTTTCTAAGCACCTTAAAAAATTACCTCCTCATACTCATAACTACTTCACATAGGTAAATATTGTTGCTTTTTGTTAAAGTACAGCTCTAGGCTATAACTACAGAATACAAAAACAGCTAAAAATAATGAATAATTTAAGCCATTAATTAATGATTCTAACCATGTGGTATACAATGACTATTTTGGAATCGCTTCAAACAGAATTAATATTTGATTTGACTTTGTGTCACCTCTCCCCACTTTTCCATGAAAGTGATATTTACAAAATTGGGTCTACAAATCTGTCTGAAAAATTCAGTTGCTCCTTTAGACATATCCTGTGAGCTGTACCTGGCTGATACTGAAGCACCCACATCATACCAAATTGCCTGGGACTCCTGGGACCACATCCACCCCAGCTGAGTGGGATGCATTCTCCAGCCATCTGCAGTACCAGTGCTGATGTTTACATGCTTTGCAATCCCATTTTCATGGTGTAATACTGAAGTGAAAGCGCACACCTGCAGGTATTCAGGTATTCATTCTCTACCATATGCATCACTATTCCCATCATCAGCCCTGTACTTCTCTGATGCCCAACAACTCTTGAAATCTTTCTACTGTCTTGTCTTGTCTTGTCTTCTCTCTCTCTCTCTCTTTTTCCCTCCCTTCCTCCCTCCCTCCCTTCTTTCCTTCTTCGAGACAGGATAGTGGCCTGTTGTCCAGCCTGGAGTTCAGTGGCATGATCATAGCTCACTGCAGCCTTGAAATCCTGGGCTCCACATATCCTCCCACCTCAGTTTCATGAGTAGCAGGGACTACAGTTACATGCTACCATGCCTGGCTAATTTTTAAATTTTATGTATAGATGGAGGTCTTGCAGTGTGGCCCAGGCTGGTCTTGAACTCCTGGCCTCAAGTGATCCTCCAGCCTCAGCCTCCCAAAGTGTTGTGATTACAGGCATGTGCCAATGTGCCAGGCCTCCACAGTGCTTTCTGAAATCCATTCCAAAAATCTTAAGAGTTCTCTCAAATATCTCCCTTGCAAGTCTTCCCTCCCACTCTGTACTAACTGCACTCCCCACGCTGCTGCTTCCTCTGCAGGCTTTTCAAAGGGTGGCTGCCTCTCTCTGCCATCCCCAGCAGTCCAGGTTTGTGGGTGGAACTGAGGCTTAAGTTTCTAGTCATGCCTGATCTCCTCAAGCCCTTGTATAAAGGTCACAGTTGTGAGGCTCATGCCATCCGGCACATCATCCTCTCAGTCTCCATCTTGCTGTCATCTCCAACCTCCCAGACCCCCTCCTCACTGTTGAGAGTCTTTGGGTCTGGTGAGGACCTGCCCATCCTAGAGTATGCATGCCACTCATCTGAGAATATGATTTCTAATTTTGTATCTCATTGCATTTTCTCACTGTGTCGCCCAGGCTGGAGTGCAGTGGTGCAATCTTGGCTCACTGCAACCTCCACCTCTGGGTTCAAGTGATTCTTCTGCCTCAGCCTCCCGAGTAGCTGGGCATGCGCCAGCTAATTTTTGTATTTTTAGTAGAGACGGGGTTTCACCATGTTGGCCAGGATGGTCTCGACCTCTTGACCTCATGATCCACCCGCCTCAGCCTTCCAAAGTGTGGGGATTACAGGCATGAGCCACCGTGCCTGGCCTTTCTTTTCTTTCTTTTTGAGACAGAGTCTCACTCTATCACCAAGGGTGGAGTGCGGTGGCACGATCTTGGCTCATTGCAACCTCCCCATCCTGGGTTCAGGTGATTCTCCTGCCTCAGCCTTCCAAGTAGCTAGGACTACAGCCCTGCACCACTACACCTGGCTAATTTTTGTATTTTTAGTAGAGATGGGGTTTCACCATGTTGGCTAGGCTGGTCTCAAACTCCTGACCTCAGGTGATCCATATGCCTTGGACTCCCAAAGTGCTGGGATTACAGGCATGAGCCACTGCACCCAGTCTGTAGCTTATTGTTTTTAATAATCTTTTTTTAACTTCAGCTGCTTAATCCATCTTCATCTGTATATCTTTACTATATGTCATTGTTATTACACTTTTTTCCAGCTCCAAAATCTCTAATTCAAGCATCCCCAACTCTTATCACAGCCTCCTATATTTTCTAGCTGGTTCGCTTATTTACCCTATTCTTGCTTTCACCATTTTTGTCCTTCCTGGTCCCTCTTCAACCTACTTTGTTCTGGCTTTCCCACCTATTATTCTACCAAATAGTAAGTTTTAGGGCACCAAGAAGCTCCATATTACAAAGTTCACTGGCTCCTTTGGCTCTCATCTTATTGGGCCTCTCAGCAACACTCAGCTCCCCCTTCCCTCCTGAGCCATCCTCTTCTCTTGGCTTTCCTGAGTCCAGAGCTTCCTGAGTTTGAAGTGTGTTATTCTGCCTAGAAGCTAGATGTTGAAGTGTCTTAAAGATTATTTTTAGCCACTCTTCCTGTTTCATTCTATTTTCTCTCTGAAGGTGACAACTTTCCCACACCCAGGTTTCCATCAACTGTACATAGACAACCTCAAAATTTATGTCTCATCAAGACCTCCTCTTGAGCTCCAGATGGAAGCATACAATTGCCTACTTGCTATGTGCACTGGAGTCTCACAAAGCCACATCCAACTCCAGTGTTATATTTGCAAATATAAAATCATGGTTTTCTCCACAAAACTGGTCTGTATCCAGTGTTTTCTCTCTTGGCATTGTGGATAAGAAAGTGGGAATCGTCCCTGGTGTTTCCCCTGCCCTCTTCCCACAGCCACTGCATCACAATATCGTGTTCATTTTACCCAACACATAGCTACTGAAGGTGATGGTTTTTATCAACAACCACCACCACCACTGCAGCACAGTCCAGCTGCCAGCTCCCAGCTGTCTTCTACCACAGTCTGCCAATCACTTAAGCCTGGCTTTTATCAGTTCTAACATTGCAATCAGCATATATATTTATATATATAAAAAAACACAAATCCGATGATGTCAAATGTCTACTGGAAAACCTTCAATTACTGGAAAACCTTCAGTGGTTTCCCATCCTCCTAAAACCAAGACCCTTTTACCTCTTTCATCTCATTTCCCACTCTGCTCACCCAAGCTCTTTGCACTCAAAAAAACTCATATATATATATATATATATATATATATATATATATATATATATATATATATATATTAGTCCAGAGCCCAGAATATTAAGAGAATGTGTATGTCTGAGAAACCTGTATATATTTTTATGCTTTTATATGTTATTATATGTTACATATATATATATATATATATATATATGTTTTTAGTTTGTAGAGGGCTATGAAGATAATCTTTGTGTTTTAAAATGTTCTTTTTTGTTTGGTTTTATCTTAACAAATGAGCATTGTTATGGGTTGAATAGTGTCTTCCAAAAATTTTTACGTTGAAGTTCTAATCCCAAATATCTCAAAATATGACCTTGTTTGGAAATCAGGTCATTGCAAATGTAGTTAGGACGAGCCCTTCAGGGTGAGCTATAATCCAATATGGCTGCTGTCCTTATAAAAAGGGGATATCTGGACCCAGAGACATGCACAAAGAGAGAATTCCATGTGAACACAAAGGCAGAGATTGAAGTGATGCATCTACAAATCAAGGAACTCTAAGGGCTCCCAGCAAACCAGGAGCCAGGAGAGAGGCATGGAACAGATCCTCTCTTAGTCTCAGGAGGAATGTCTTAGTCCATTCATGTTGCTGTAGAAAGATACCATAAACTGGGTGGCTTGCAAACTATAGAAATTTATTTCTTACAGTTTTGGAGGCTGGGAAGTTGAAGTTACAGCTGCTAGTAAATTCAGTGTCTGGTGAAGGCATGCTTACTGTTGCACAGACAGCAGCCTTCTTGCTGTGTCTTTTCATGGCAAAAAGGGGAGAAGGAACTCTCTGGGGTCTCTTTTATAAGGGCACTAATCCCATTTATGAGGGCTTCACTCTCAAGACCTAATCACCTCCCAAAGCCCAACTTCTTAATATCATCACATTGAATGTTAAGATTTTAACATGCAAATTTTGGGATGACACATTTTGTCTATAGCAATAAACGAAACTTGTGGTCATCTTGATCTCAAATTTCTGGCCTCCAGAACTGTGAGGTGACAAACTTCTGTTGTTTAAGGCACCCAGTTTGTGGCACTTTGTGGCATCAGTCCTAGAAAACTAATATAAGCACCAAAAAGGATTTTGATCTCAACATTCTATTTGGAGAGAACCAAACAGCCCAGAGGCTTGGGTAATATGGACACCTGTAGTAAGTCTATTAAATTTCTATACAACTTATTCTTAAATGGAAAACTTAAAATGTGCTTGCAAATTCACAAACAACAATGAAGACAAAACAACAATAGCAACTAAACTCTCAGAAAAGCCTACAATTTGAAGGAAAAGCAGTTAAAATATAATTTTATGAACTCGCTAATTACATGGGCACACAATTCCCAACTTACCTAAAACATACAATATTGATATAATTTAGATTTCAGTATTAATTTCCAACATTATGCATTATTTTCTTGATTTCACACTAGGGATTGTTTAAGTGAAAACTACGTTATTTCATTTGAAAAAGGCTTGCTTCATTTGGCAAATATTAGAATGGCTGTGAATGTACCTGGCACTGTCCATACTTTGAATATTTAGAGATAAGAAGATACTGCTTCTAATTACATGGTTTCAAATTTCTTAATTTGCTTAAAAATATAATATGGATATGATTTAAACTGCAGTATTATTTCCCAACATTATGCATCATTTTCTTGATTATACCCTAAGGTGACAATCACAGATGATTAGCACATAAATAGTTACTATACAACCTGATTGTAGATAGCTGAGAAGGCAGAGGAGAGAGAGAGTAAAATTAGCGGGTGGAGCAATGATTATGGTTCAGAGGAAATGACATAAACAGGCTGCTGTGGTCTAAATTTTTGTGTCCCCTCAAAATTTATACATTGAGACTGAACCCCTAATGCAATGGTATTAAGTGTTGGGACCTTTCAGAGGTAATTTGGTCATTAGGATTCCACCCTCAAGAATGCGATTAGTGCTTATTTTATATAAGAGGCCTGAGAGAGCTTCTTTACCACTTCCGCTATGTGAGGATGCTGCAAGAAGGAACTATCTGTAAAGTAGAGAGTGGCTTCCCACCAGACACCCAATCTGCTGGCACCTTGCTTTTGGACTTCCCAGCCTCCCAAACAATGAGCAATACATTTCTATTATTTATAAATTACCCATTTTAAGGTATTTTGTTGTAGCAGCCCTAATGGACTAAGACACAGGCAAAATACAAATAGAATGCCTTGGCTGCAAGACATACTTTTCACATTTGCTGTTAGCACGCTTGTGCTTTGCCTTTGCACCTTCCTGATTTTGCAAAAATATTTGAACCTAGAAATGACCTTAGCACTTACTGAATTCAACCTATTTTATTCACTAACTTTCAAATGTTTCGTAGTAATTTATTTTTATTTTGCATTTACTCAAATGGTGAGATAGATGTCTATAATCTTCTGATTGGGTATTAGACACGCACTGGAACAAAATCAACATCCTGGCCCCCTTTAGAGATTCTACTTCATAGTCACCCCAACTTTGATGGAGGATTTTTTTTTTTTTTTTTTAAACGGAATCTTGCTCTGTCGCCCAGGCTGGAGTGCAGTGGCGCTGTCTCCGCTCACTGCAAGCTTCGCCTCCTGGGTTCACGCCATTCTCCTGCCTCAGCCTCCCGAGTAGCTGGGACTACAGGCGCCCGCCGCCACGCCCAGCTAATTTTTTGTATTTGTAGTAGAGACGGGGTTTCACCGTGTTAGCCAGGATGGTCTCGATCTCCTGACCTCGTGATCCGCCCGCCTCAGCCTCCCAAAGTGCTGGGATTACCGGCGTGAGCCACCGCGCCCGGCCTGAATGGAGGATTCTATCAGGTGCATGAAAGGCTTCCTTGACTAGTAAGCTTTTAGGAGTCTTGTTTTCCTTGAGATTTAATCTAAGTTCTAACCTGATTGTAAACAATATGCAGAGGGATCCAGTCTTTTGATAGATCCTCCTCTTCAAAGTCATTCATTAAGTATAGAACTGGAGATTCTGAGAGTCTTCAGGTGATGCCATAACTGAAGATTGCATAGATTAATAATTTTACCATCTGCAAAGCTTCATCCTCCTTAGTATTTCCTGAACCCCGTCAGCACTATCCAAGCTCTAGCCATGTCCACTGCCACTGTAAAAGCTGCAAGTCCAATCTCTTTTTCTCAAGGGTGAGCAGTGTAAGCCCCAGGGAGTTAGGTGACTTATTTGCCATTACCACAGGCAAAAGGGACAAATCTGAGACTTGAGCCCAGTTCTTCTACTTAGTGTCCAGCTACCTTTCTACAACAGTCTACTGCTAACTTGATTTTATTAAGTAAATGAAATGTCAGCAGTCATAAGGCAACATAAAGAGCTCCTCTAATATTAGAAAAATGATCTAAGAAAATATCAGCACTGCCATACAGAAATATAAAAATATGTCATTTTCATTATTTCCTTTTTGCCATTATCTTGGCAAAAGAGGCAACTAATAAGTTACCAATAGTTACTGAAGCTCCAGGGTCCTTGCTGCATTTGATATTCTGTAACCACTGGAGAACTATAAGAACCAAATTTGTCCCAGAAAGTGATATTAAGCAGAGTGTAGGATTTCTCTATTCAGAGGAACCTGTCTCCTCACTTGGAAGTAGAAAAAAGAATACCTGTTTTAAACAGAACCTGGAAAATTATACATGCAAATGGTATTCTCCCTTCCTGGCTAAGTCTTTCACATTCAACAAACAAACAAAACACTTCCTAAGGCACATACCTGAAGCCTTATTACTAGCAGACCCCACTTCTTATACTTCTATTCCTTGTGTTAGACTAAGAAACCCTATTTATTTGCTAGGAGAGGAGTGAAGAAAAGCGTCAAAAGGGGAACCGGAATGAGCTTGGACAGGTGTTCTGTAAGACAACTTCAGGCAAATTCAAAGTGAATCATTCACTTGCTGACAGTAGCAATGAAAGTAGTTTCATGCCTCTTATTTTTTGGTCCTGAATGTCATTTTGATAATTCAAAGTGAAACCAGCAATTACTCTTAAGGACCAGCAGATGGGAAACTTTATTTCCAAAGTAAATTATATTTTGGATTTTCTGTGGCTAGATGTAGATCTGTAGAGGTATAAATACTGACCTCAGAAATATTCTTATAATATTAAAACTTTAAAAAAAACCTGTTAATTTTTAAATTAACAATTGGTTTGTTAATGTAAAAGTATTGCTTTTTAAAAGTATGGATGCATATACTAATTAACTGTATATAGTGAAGCAGCCACTGGCAATTATACTAGAATGCCTCGTGAATGTTTTCCGTTTTCATTTCTGAGCAGTGAGGACCAATATCAAACTAGGAAAGGCAATTTTGCAGACTGACATTTTGCTCCTTCAGAAATGTCTGTGTTGCCTCTGTGCCTGTCATTCAGAGCAGTCGTAAGATTAGCTGTCTATATTCTGTCTCATCCTCTAGAACTTTCATTTACAAATATTTGATGATAAATAATTGTACATGCCAAAAGATCCCTTGAAAATCATTCACAGGAATTACACAAGGTATGTGAAAAAATGATTTTGTGGCATAAGGAAATAGGAAAAATAACTACATCTAAAATCACTCTACCTAGTCTCATACTCTGCATTACTGTGAGCTATGTATTTGTTAAAAGGGAATAGATTATGCTTTCAAGGAGGCCTCACATTTCTCAAAAGTAAAGTGTGATGCTTTTCTGCTCACTTTTTAAAATTCCTATATAAGGAAACTAGTTGAAAAGGTAGACTTCTGGTGAACTCCAGATGACTTGCAGGAGATAGCAAGTTTTAAGGCAGTTTCGCAGACACATTTTTCAAAACATATTACTCTGTGAAAACATCCCTGAGTCTAGTATTTTCCAAGAATACTATAGGAATTTAAATACAGGTCTTGAAGTCAGAAAACATGGCTTGGAGTCCTGATTCAGTCATTTAACAGTTTTGCAACAGCGTGTATCTTCCTGCACTTCGGGATTGCTAAAAAACAGCTTGAAAAAATGAGATTACATTGATCATAATAAACTATAAACCATCTGACAAAGCATAAAGAGTAATTATTTGTTTCAGCCCTTTTATATGTAAAGACAGAGATCTTTTTTTCTTCTACTCTACGTTTCTCCTTCATTTATATACCTAAATTTATAAACATTACGACCAACATGAAAATTGCCATTGGTCTTGTGTGGCATACAAGTACCGTTTAAACATTTTCATCAAAAATCTTATATCCACTAAGATTTACATTTATTCTAATCTCCCGTCTTCAATCCTTAGTTGATGCCCATAAATACTAAGTGGATGGGCCCAGGAGGATGCGCTTAGCAGCACCAACAAAACCAGCTGCAAGAGGATGCATAATGGTTCTGAAAATTATAGCAGCTATAAGCTTACTTTCTTTCACTGAATTTTTTATTCACTATTATCTGGAGGGTACACCCTCTTTGAAATGGTTGGATTGCTTACAAAAAAAAAGATTGCATGCTAATTTCATAATAGAAAAAGAGTAATTTGTGTATTTCTCATGCTAGCCTTATTTTTAGCTATTTTTGTGAATATCTTCTGTTTTTATTATAAAAGGTGGTGAAACCCATTTGTAGAAGTACCAATGTTTTCTCCCTTCCACACATAGAGTACTATAAGAGGTCAACTATGGGTTTGTTCCAGTAAGAAAATTCCTATGTTTGTTACAAAAGAAAAAGATATAGCAGCTCCTTTGATTTCATAAAATTTCTTTCTTTCCAGGCCGGGCGCGGTGGCTCAGGCCTGTAATCCCAGCACTTTGGGAGACCAAGGCAGGCAGATTATGAGGTCAGGAGTTCAAGACCAGCCTGGCCAACATGGTGAAACCCCGTCTCTACCAAAAATACAGTAAAAACACAAATATAAAATTTATTTTTTTCTGGAACATCTGCAAATGGAAGCTTAGCTTTATTTTCCAGTTCAGGGACCGAGGTATCACTGAGCTGTGGCCTCCATGAAACTACAGGTGCTACCTCTGGCTTATCAATCAGTGGGCTAATCTTACCATTTCTTTTCTCCAAATTTTAATTCCACAGATAATAGTCCCAACTCTTTTAGCATGGCATAAACATTAAATGATTATTCCAGAATGTGATTCCTGAACATTTTATATGTTCCTCAGCTTTACTAGGGTTTACCCCAAATCATACTCTGTGTAAAGCATATGAAGACTATAGCATGATGACAAGAAAGTAACTTGTGTTTTAGTATTTACATATTTATTCAACAAATAATCTATCTTCTTTTTATTCCAAAGTATTAGAAAAATATTACAGTGTCTCTGTCTATGTTCAGAAAGCAGTGGATAAAGCAATAAATATGACATATTTTCAGTGGCACTGTAATCAAAAGGCTATAAGAAAATTGAAAACTAAACATGTAGATGAGTTTTGGGATAATATGGGGACTTTATGCCGAAGCATGAGTCAGGTGAAGGTATTCTGGAAGCTCCTATTATCTGCAAATTCCTTAAAAATATCTCATCAAATGGTAAAAAGTTCCATAGGAGAGTAAACTGGAACAAGGGAAGAATAAACCAAGGGGTTTAAGGCAGGAGGAGAAAGATGTGTGTGTATAAATAAGCTCTGTGACAGAGATAGGATTAGCATCCACAAATATTTCAAAAATACATCAGGCTAAAGATGTATTATTTAAAATACTATATATAGAACAAAATGATGCACTTAGAGAAATTGCAGGAAGTAAATAAAATGCCAATGCATAATTATAGCTATGAGAAAAAGATTGGTTATTTGCAGATGTGTGTATGATGTGGGCCTAAAATTCCTACCACCACTTTCAGCTAAGGCATAAAAAGCCCTTATAATACAAACATTAAATGTAAGGGAAAATATATGGGGCCACTATTAATCATTAATGTCTTGGTATAGATTAAATCATCAGTTTTATTCCTGCCACTTAGAAAGGTCTTGAAAAAACAATGGAATTGAAGTCAGTAGGAGAGGGAAGGGGAGCAGGGCCCAGTGTACAAGCTGCTGCCCTATAGGGCTGACCCAAGTAGGGGCCTCAACAGGGGAACCGGGCTCCCAGGATTGCTCTCTTCAGGGCCGTTCTGTAGAGATGACATTTGTATGTGTCTGAGTCGGTGTGAACATCATATAAGATCTCAGGGAATTTACAGCAAACCTTCAGACATTTGCCATTCTAAATTATTCTTTAAGCAACCATCTTTAATTTCCATATAAGGACAAGGTGAACTTATTTTTTCTCTACTTTAGACATTTATATTTTAATTTTAAAAATAATATGCTGTCCTTAAAGAGATACATGGGGATTTATGTGTCCCAAATGTGATAATTTTTAGACTTGAAGAAGGTAAATTTTGTCTTCTCCTCCTCCATAAATTCCCAAGAGTACAGAACAGAAATCTGTATTTGGGGTTGAAATGCTATATTATAACATATACCAACAACTTAAGCATAGTCATCATAAAGCAATACTTATGGATAGTACAGAATTATTCTTAACCTAAAAATTTTAAAATTAAGGAATCAATATAAAATGCAAAAGTCCTTGTCTTTTTTTGAGACATGTACTTTATTCAAGTATGACTTTTCAAAAGAGAAAAAGAATAAAATATACTACAAAAATAAAAATGAATACTATAAGCATTAATAAAAAGAGAAAACAGATAAAAGTGTGAAAAATAAAACATCATTAGGAAGGACTCATTAAAGAAAGAAACAAATGACTAAAGAAGAAACCACCAAGAAAAAAAGGTAAAAATCTCATTGCTTAGATGTTATTAAAAGGAAAAGGTGTTATTTAAGGATAAGTATGTTCTACCTGCTCTTAGAATCAAAAAAAATTTTCAAGCTTTTAGTATCTTATTATCTCTTTAATGTAAGGTAGCAATATTTATTTAAATAAGCAATAATTTGAAATATCATCCTTGAAAATATTTCTTCTAATGGTTTTCTTTCTCCTTTTATATAGCATTCATGAATATCTCAGCAGCTAAGTAAAAATTGAGGGTCTCAGAGACTGTAGCTGACTTTTTAAGACAGCCAAGGCATTAATCCACGTGTGTGCATGGGCAGCCACCAGGAATAGAATTTATCTCAGTGCAGAGTTTCTCATTGAAAAACAGGCCAAGACTTAGGCAAATTGTGCATTTACAGTTTCTTTTCCTTTTTCCTCTTCATTCATTTTTTTTCTTTTTCCTTTTACATTCATTTTAGTCATCCAGGGCCTTTCTACCTTTACCCTCTTCCCCTTTACAAGGCATGAAAAAAAAAAAAAAAACCCAGCCATTGCACTTGCTTGTAACATATTCGTTATAATAAATAATCCAGTTCTTTGTATTCATAGAAGGGCAGAATCTTTGTGTTGTAATAGCCTTTTGAGATCAACTGTTTTAAATCACTTCCTAAACAGGATTTCCTCTGTATATTCTGGATTGATGGCTGGTACATTTCTAGTACTTTTCAACACATTTTATTACTTTTACTAGGGAACAGTTCCAGGGATAACAACTCTAATTGGTCTTATATTGAGTGAAAAACTACTTCTCTGCAGTGTTTGTGCACAGAGCTTGATTTTGCACATGAAACAATACAAAACAAATCCATTCCCTCATTATTTCAGCCCTTCAAAGTTCTGAAAACAGCTTCTTATTCCCCTAAGTCATCACTTCCCAAACTATTCCCTATTCCTTTAACATTACCCATGAATGCCAGTCAGTAACACCTTAAAGATAGGATCCAGGAATAGACAACAGATAGATATAATAACATGCACATGTTCTAATAGTGCCAAGTCCAGAGGGACTGAGATCTCTGTGATTTGCACACTTATCTTCTATTGATTCAGCCTAGGCTCATAATAGCTTTTGAGCAGCTGTGTCATGCTGTTACATCAGTGCCTTTCAAACAAGTCCAGGAAGCAGGGCTCTGAAAAGTCAAGGGACTCTTTTTGACTTTTCTGATCCCCACAATAAAATTCTGAGTAGCATTAATTCTGTCATTTGAATTAGGATCAATTGTACCAGCAGAAAATTTACCCATATTTAATGTATCCATCCTACTACATCTCCAAAGGACAGAATTACTTTTAGAGAATTATGGTTCAGAATTTCTTCAGATATATATATATAAATATATATATAAATATATATATTTATAAATATATATAAATATATATATATTTATAAATATATATAAATATATATATTTATAAATATATATAAATATATATATATTTATAAATATATATAAATATATATATTTATAAATATATATATAAATATATTTATAAATATATATATAAATATATATATATATTTCTTTTGTATTTATAGGAAAAGAAAAATTTATTGGCAAAAAACACAAAACTGTAGTGAAAACTGTAGTGAAAAAAATCAGTTAAATACCCCCATAAGATATTGTGAAAAGACCATCACCCTTAACTTTTAATAGCAAAATGCCTGCTACAGCCTTTGGAAGAACAGAGTTCCATGAGAATAAGGTTTAAGAATGTCTGCCTTATGTTAATCATATACTACATAGAGTGGTATAAGAGTCAGCATAGTAAGTAGAGAAAGCACTGAACTGCCACGTGGTTAATGGGTTTAGTTCTGGTATATACTGACTTTGTGACCTTTAGAAAGCCACTTAACTTCTCTGGCTTCAGTTTTCTTATCCTTTAAGTAAGAGACTTAGGTTAGATTAGTTTTAAGGTACATTTCTATCTTAGTCCCCTTCAGGTGCTGTAACAAGATACCACAACCTGGGTGTCTTAACGGAAATTTATTTCTTCTAGTTCTGGAGACTGGAAAGTCCAACATCAAGGTGCCATCCAATCTGGTTCCTGGTGAGGGCTCTCTCCCTTATGTGCAGATGGCCACCTTCTTGCTGTGTCCTCACATGGCAGGGAGCCAGTGAGCTCTCCGGCATTTCTGCTTATGAGGACTAATCCTAGCAGATCAGGTCCCTACCCTTATGACCTCATTTAACCTTAATTACCTCCATAAAGGCCTTATCTCCAAATACAGAGCTAGGCTTTAATGCATGAATTTGGAGGTGGGGTGGGACAAACATTCAGTCCATAACAATTTCCATCAAGAAATTCTATTGTTTTAACCCTCTCAGTTTTTAAACATTTTAAACCATGTTGTCATATCTGTCTCATTCTATGTCATGTAGTGAACCAAAAAGCAAATTCTTCTCCATGGAATTTCTTATTTGCTCATTATTGACTTCATAATCAATTCCCTGCTATTCCTTAAGTTCTGTCCTAGGTTTCAGGAAATCATTAATAAACAAAAATGACAAAAATTCATTTCCACATGGAGCTTACTCTCCATTGGTGAGGCAGACAATGCATAAGAGTAAAATCTATACCCTGCCAGATAGCATTAAGTGCCAAGAGACCAAAATAAAGCAGAAAAGGGCATTATTAACTACTGTGGCAGGAGGAGTCGAAATTTTAGATGGCAAAAGGAAGTAAGGAAGTGGTTGTGTGTATATCTGAGAAGAGAACGTACCAAGCAGAGAAAACAACAAAAATCAAAGAGGCTGAGGTAGGGAAGTGGGTGATTTTTCAGGGAACAGCAAAGAGGTCAATATGATTGGAACACAGTAAATGAAAGTTAAGGTAGTAGGAGATGAAGTTTAAGAGGTAGTGAGAATCAAGTCATTTAGGTTCTGGTTGATTATTAAAAAAAATTTTTTGTTTATTACTCTGAGTGTAATGGGAAGCTATTAGGAAGTTTAGACTGGAAGAGAGTGGGGCAAGATCTGGCTAATGTTTTAACAGGATCACTCTGACTGGGGCACTGAAAATATTTTGGAGAGTACAAAGAAGAAGGAAGGGGATCAGTTAAGAGGTAGTATACTGCCACAGTCCAGGTAAGAGATTAGGGCTTGAATTTATGTGGGATTGGAAGTTTCTAGAAGGTAGTCCAGTTTCTTTATAGTTTGAAAATTGAGAGAGCAGAATTAGTTGTTGTTTTGGACTATATGTTGATGACTAGTTCTAGCACATTTATCTTTAATTTCAAGGTTTGTTTTGTTTTGTTTTGTTTTTGTTTTTGTTTTACTAGAGACAGGGTTTCACCATGTTGGCTGGGCTGGTCTCAAACTCCTGACCTCAGGTGATCGACCGCCTTGGCCTCCCAAAGTGCTAGGGCTATAGGTGTAAGTCACCACCTCTAGTTATAACTAACTAGTTTGTGTTATCAGTTTCTGTAATGAACAAGACTTCTATCCTTTTCTAAGTGTTCCTACAAAATCTCAGATGGGCTCTTGTCATAAAGAGACCTCTGCACCAGCATAAATTACTTCCATTAAAAAAATACTGAACATTCAATATCTTTTGAGTAAGGATTGTTCATCCGTCAATCCAGTTGAGTTCAATTCAGTCCTTTAGTTATAGCTAAAAAGATCCTATGCATGCTAGGCCTTCTGCTAGGCATGGGGTGGTGAAGATGAGGGTATTCATATATGATTAAGATATAACTTTCTTAAAGAAAGTCTGAAAATCTGGTAGAGACTGTGCACAGTCTCATAAGTGGTGGGATATGGTTTGTAATTAAGTCATTTTAGGGGAATGGCTAATTCACTTGTGTGATCACAGGTCAAAGAGGGTGTGGATATGACTCTGATGAGGTGGCTGAATCAAGTGTGGAAGTTCTGACATGCTAAGGACTGGCTCTATTTTGTGTGAGAACCGTTGGAGTTTTTAGGGTGTGGAATGACATGGTTATGACTGTATGTGGGAGATGTCTCTAAAGGCAATGTGAAGTAGTCTGAGGCTAGAAGAAGGATTCAGTGCAAGGCTAGAGTCCAGTTAGGTTACTGCTGCCTCTGTTCACTGGGGAGGAAGGTGACAATGGAGAAGAAAGAAGGCAATGGTGTCAGAGATGTTTGAAAGTAAAGGTTACAGAATCACTTACTGAATCAGGTATGATAAATTAAAGTAGAAGTCAATTCACGTACTGGAACTGTGCAGCTGTGCAACTCTGTGAGTTGAGAAACAAGGCAAAAGGAAAAAAATCACCTCTTTTGTGGTTTTTTTTTTGTGTGTGTATATATATATATATATATATATATATATATATATATAGCGAGAGAGAGAATAATATATATATTATATATATATATTTTTTTTTTTAGACAAAGTGTCACTCTGCTGTGGCACGATCTCGGCTCACTGCAACCTCCAACTCCCGGGTTTAAGTGATTCTCCTGCCTCAGCCTCCCGAGTAGCTGGGATTACAGGCGCCATGCCAGGCTGGTTTTTGTATTTTTAGTAGAGACGCAATTTCACTATGTTGGTCAGGCTGGTCTTGAATTCCTGACCTCGTGATCCACCCGCCTTGGCCTCCCAAAGTGCTGGGATTACAGGTGTGAGCCACCATGCCTGGCCAATTACAAGATATTTTAAAAGCATACAATTACTTATACACATTGACCTAGTTATCTTACTCCAGAGAACTTATCTAAAATATAATTTTATGGCTTGTAAGTTTTATTCAAGAAGTCTCTCACTGAAATTTTTTTTGTCTTTATGAAAAAGGGAATCTAAAATGCCCCAGGATAAGGGAATGGTAAATTAGTTAGCTTACAACCTGAACAAAGAAATTGTAATTATTCAATTAGAAATATTATATAGGACTATCTTTCAATACAGAAGAATATTGTGATATAATTTTCAGAGAATATAGGAAAACACAAAATATATCAAATTCATAAATTTATGTCAACATTAAGAATTCTACAGTAAAGATTACAAAAAGATTTTAGGAACAGAAAAAAAAAGGGTTAAGACCGCATCTGACTTGAAGTTTGAGCCAGACAACTTCAAATCCTGCCTAAAACACATATGAAGACACAAAGAAAAAATGAAAACCACAGCACTGCAAAGGAGAAATGAAACCCTATATAATGTCAGAATGTGAACGAAATTTCAACTATGTACAATGCCCCTGTGGCCTCTATGTGGAAGGCCAACAAGAAGCAAAGCAAATCCACTGGCCTAACAAAATAGAAAGGCACTTTGTTCTTGCAGCTGTAGCCTCCCTGCCTTAGAAATGTCACCCACGAATCAACCACAAAGGCTCATTCAGCCCCCTTAGGGATGAGAGTTCTTTGTCAGAGTTATATGTTGCTAATATCTTTAATTCTATAGCTTTCCTCTCTACTTTATTTGTAGCATCTTTTCATGCACAGTTCTTCAGTTCTTTTCCTTATGATGTGTGCTTTTTTGTGTGTAAAAGTATGTTCTAACCTGAGGTTATTAAGATTTTTCCTATATTATCTTCTAAAAGCTTTATGGTTTCACTTTTCACATCAATCTGTCATCAACCAAGAATTGCTTTTTGTATATGGTGTGATGCAACAGGCCAATTTCATTTTTTCAAATGTACACCGATTCATCTCAGCCTCATTTATTAAAACATAGTTATTTTTACTGTAGCTACTCTTTGTCACTACCTTGGTTATAAATCTAGCATTTATAAATGCATATATCAATTTTTGAGTCCTCTATTCTATTCCATTAATTTATGTGTTTATTCTTACGCCAAATTACACTTTCATTATGATTCTTTCTTTACAATAAGCTTTTATGTATGGTAGAAAGATTTCTTCCATGTTCTTCTTCTAGAATGTTTTGGCTAGTCTTGGCCCTAGGCTTTTCCATCTACAGTTTAGAACCAGCTTATTTATTTTCACCAAAGAAAAGCCTGTTAGAATTTAGACTGCTATTTCATTTACTCTACAGATCAATTTTGGAAGAGTAACATCATTAAAATGTTCAGTTTTCCAATCCATGATCACACTTCATCTATTTATTTCGATCTTTTATATCTCTCATTAAGTTTTATACTTTTTCCCCTAGAGAACTAACACATCCATTAGATTATGCAGAATTACTTGATATTTTTATATCATTGTGAAGATATTTTAAAAAAATCTCATTTTCTTTTTGTTACTTTTATTATCTAAGTCTATTCTGAGATAGTAAATCAAAACATTTGGAAAATATAGAAAGCCACAAAGCAAATACACAAACAGTTCCATTCTACTCTTTATCGCCATTAGCGCATATTTTAATTCTATAATGACTTTTTTAGTTTCTTTGGAAACTAAAAATCCTTGTTTATCTTATCCATTTCCCCACTCCTCCCTCTTTTGTTTTTTCTCATCTTGTTACACAGAAAGTAGAGGGAAACCTATGGTGCAGTATTGCAACTTTGAAATAGAACTTTTAGGCAAGGAAATAATTTTAAAAAAACAACAACACTATAGTAGTGTAGACTATAGATTGTAGATTATCATAGATCACGTGTAATCAACCTGTAACCCAAGCACATAATGGAGACAGCAAGACGTTTACCTTGGTGTGGCAGAGCCACATTCAATGGTTACGAATAAGGAATTGAACTACAAATTACACCTTGACCTCAATGAGAATTTGACTCTTGCTCAAAAGGACAGGTGTATATCGTGTCTCTCACACACACACACATAAGGACAATGAACAAATCTTTAAAGATGTCCTCTTTGTTGAGGAAAAATAAACGAAAAAAGTCAGTAGAGTCAAAATATTAAGAGCTAACATTTCCTGAGTCTATACTAAGTGATTTACGTGTACTAGCTTATTTAATCTCAACACTCCTAGAAATTGGTTACGATCATCATCTCTAATTTGCAGCTGAGGACACTATGCCACAGCATGCCGTGTAACCCAGAGGACTCCATCACCCATACTCTCCCAGTGTTAGTCTATTGTTTTATAGCTAAGCATTTCTTATACATATCTTGCCCAAGTCAGATTATGCAAACAAAAATGTTAATACAAGCCAAACAATGGTCTTTATAGATATCTTGTGGAGAAAAATATACTAGTCATCCACAGCTTCTTCACCTAGAAATATAGTTATAATTACTGTATGCTTTGCCTTTAAATGCAAGCATAGTCTCTGTGCTCTTCCTTCATCCCTACCACTTATTCCATCAAAATTTTACCCTGTTTCTATTTTGGCTCTATTGTGAATAACACCTTTTCAAATATTGGCTTTTTCTTTGGATAATCAGACACTTCACTATAGTTCACATGAAGTATGCATGTTTTTCAAAATAATCAAACAGAAGAAAAATGATATTTACACCGTGTTCTTGTGAGAAAGTTATTCCAGACACCTTGCTGGTGTTTAAGTGCCAGATAATTCTGACACACTCTTTCAGCTCCCAGCGAACATAGTATGTGCTGTTCAGAAGGGGCGAATTCTTTAAAAATGACCTTTTGGAAAGTATACTTGAAAAATGTTATTGTAATGTTTATTCCTCTTTATTCTGATGATACATAATTTGATTCTATTGTATTACTTGCCAATTAGCATAAATTGACCAAATCTACTAACTGAATCATATAAAATCTTTCACCACATGTGCTAATTAAATTTTTGCTAATATAATTTCATTTTCATTTCCAAAAGTACTCATTTAAGAAATTTAAGAAAGATTAACATGTTGCTTTTCTTCTATGAATAATTGCATTTTGATTTGTTAAAATGATGCAAGAATCTCTTATTTCTCCTATTAAACTAGAAGGAAAAGGAAAATAAAGTACCTTCTTTGAAGTGGAATTTTACATCTGTGTTTTTCAGTAATGACCTATATTATAATTTAGCAAAGCTATTTGCTAATTTTAAGAGTATCTGCCTTTCTAAAGTATTGTTTTCAGTTCATAATTTTTTGTAGCTCATACTGAAGAATAAATTGAAATAAACAACTGACTCTGGTTTATAGTAGTAATCACACCTTCAAAAGGTATCATTAATGCCATTAAAGATGAATTGCCTGAAGCCTCAGTTGTTTTCTGTGACACCCGAGGCCATTAATAAGCACATCAGTCATCAATTGCTTATTTTGTCCTATTACAAGTGGCCTCAAATGAATCATCTTTAAAGAAATGCTATTTTAAAGACAGTGGGAACATAAGAAATAAATACACATTTTAATGACAAAAGTTCAGAAAGAGAATAAAAAAGTATTCTTCTATTTTTCCCATTTATCTTTTCAGTCACTCAATCAATCTATATGCATTAAGCCCAAATTATGCTCTAAGCACTAATATAGTAAAGAGTTTACATATAGGACATGAATAGATTACTATTAAAAAGTTTGGCCTCATGATACATTTTAATATGAATTGTTCAGCCATACACTTCCTCCCGATTTACAAATTTTCATTTTAGGATCTGAACTCTTTGCCTTCCCACTCAGCTTCTCTGAGTTTTGCAAAGCAGCAGAACATAACCCCTTTAGCCTCTATAGATATGTTTTCTGATGAGTAATATTGTAAACATATTTCTGTACTCAAATTTTTCTGTGATCTTCAACCTTTTCAGATGAGACATTAGATAAAAAACCTTTTGATACCAAAACTTTGAGGATATCATGGTCAATTTCTGAAAGGAAGTTTTTGCTACTGTTTAGGGAAGACTGTCAAGAGTGAAAGCATTGTTTCCTCACTGGAATAGTTCAGGTTCTTCTGCTGCCTGGGAGCAGGTGATAAGCTGCCTGGAACTAGGATCCAGACCCTAGATATTCCATTCTGTTTATGGACTGTTCATTTCAGTTCAATTTACAGGCTCCCATAGAAAAAACATAATCTCCTTTCTTTCTCTTTCTCTCATTTCCTATCTTGAAAGATTCTTTAGAAATCTCTTGACAAATGATGCAACTATAACTGTGGCTTATTTTTCCTGTAAGAAAGCCTTTGTTTCTCTGAAAAGTACACCAATTCTTTCTCACATGAAGACACTTCACCTCTTACTTCACCTATCTGGATACTGCAAACACTATGGATTCAGCCTCACCTTTCATTCTCTCGGTACTCCCAATCTCCTCCATCTGTCTTACATGTATGTTTGGAAAATTAAGTATAATAATGCATTTAAAGCATAGAACACAGCCCTATAAACAATAATATTATTTAGTGGCAGTAATAATAAGCAGTAAAATAAAAAGGGCTTTTCTTGAAAGTAAATATATTTGCAAATGATTACACATCTGAAGATAATGGACAAGAGAAAAAAGAAATAAGTGACCAACTTACATTTGTGGCATCCATTATTTACTTCAAAATTTGTACCTTAGGAAATTATATGTATTACGGAAATTTCTTTCTAATTGTCCTGGAGTCAACTCAGAGCTGTCAGTGATACACCAAAATAAAGAAGGTTTATTTAGCTCAAACTGCAAGTCTGAGAAGCGTTTGAGGTTTTTTGTTTTGTTTTGTTTTGTTTGTTTGTTTGCTTTTAGGTAGTACAGTGAAAATATTCTTAATTTATTCAAAATTCTGTTTACATATTGTACTTTACAAATGTAAACAATTTAAAGGTATCCCTTATTTATATGGAGAAAATACTTTTGTATCAAGCAACTGTTTTAAAATGTAGTAATGATTTCAAATAAATGTTTAGGGTAGAAATGGATTAAGTATAGTTAATTTAGTTAAACTTCAACAAGTCAATAGGGAGTAAATAATGGTATCTGGTACAATATATTGATGATTTAACAACAGATAAATTGTCAGTACTTTTTTCATAGAAGGAACATCTATGCTTATTTTAGAAATTTTTTGTCACATTTTCAGTAATCTGAAATCTTTCAATAAAAAGTAGAAACATTTAATTCTTATTCATAAAAAACTATTAGTTGATTACCTAGAACAGATGAGGGATACAGGAGAAAGAACAAGATATAGTATTTTGGGGGAAAATATCTACCAAACTTTATGTGTAGTTTAATGCATTAAATTTTCCGTTCCTTCGAAATTTTGTACAAAAGAATTAATGAACAGAGACCTAATACGAATTAGCTTAAGCAAAAATAGAATTTATTGCTTCAAGTACTTGAAAAGTTCAGGATTAAGGCTAGGATTAAGACTGACCATAGGCACACTAAACAATCCAGAAAGTTCCAATGATGTCAATAAATGAATCAGACTCAATATCTACCCCCTTCTCTCCCTCTCCCTCACGGATACCAGAGGAGGACTATAAATCATGATACTGATCAACCTGGACACATCTTGTTAACATATAACCTTTCTTCTACTTCACCTACACCGTTATTACTCAATAGGTCTAAAGGAATGATTTTACAAGCAATATCAAAAAATTATGTAATGAGTTTTTATGAAGAATTGATTCCATAGGCTAAAAGCATTATTCATAATAGAATATATTTTAAAAGTCTATAATTATAAACATAGGTACCAACTTTCCAAATTTGTCTTAGTTTTATTTAGTGTATAATCAGCTTTATTGAAGTGTAATTTACATACCATAAGAGATACTCATTTAAAGTGTACAGTTCAATTAGTTTTGATAAATGCATACATCTGTGTCACCTCCTCAATCAAGACATTTAATATTGCCATCAACCCCAAAAACTTCCTGTGCCTCTTTGTGGTCAATTCTGTCTACCCTTGGCCCCAGCCTACCACCGATCTCATTTCCATCGCTATAGATGAGGTTCACTTGTTCTAGAATTTCATATAAATAAAATCGTAGTGTCAACTACATTGAGTTTGCTTCTTTCATTCATGGTGTTGTAGAGATTCATCCATATTGTAACCAATGTCAGCAGTTTGTTCTTTCCTCCCTTTTTTGGCTGGGTAGTATTCCATTGTACGAGTATATCATCCCTTGTTTATTCATTTCCATGTTGATTTAGAATAAACTGCTGAATTAGTTATAATTAGGAGATATTTCAAATTAAGCAAGTTCTTATGTGGCTATATGTCTTCATTTCTTTTGGGTAAACACCTGAAAATAAAATAGATGTATCATAATGATAACCACATGTTTTTTTTACTTTATACGCAATCATAAATGGTTTCTCAAAGTGTTCATAACATTTTACATCCCAAACGGCGATGTATAACTCGCTATTTCTCACCCTGGCCAGCACTTGCTGCTGTTGATATGTTTAATTTTAGGCATTCTGGGATGCATCATGGTATATCACTGTGGTTTTCAAAAACATTCCTCTGCTGACTCATGACACTGAGTGCTTTTCTGGGTCTCATCTTAATTGTTACCTTTAAATTTCTCATAGTAGATTTAACAATGGACAAAGCAGCCAGAAAACATTCTCTTGCCCAATGATTAATTGATATGAAACTTTATTTCCATGTATTTATTCACCATGTGATTACTGAATGTCTTCTAGATGGGCACTGGTAGGGGTACAGAGAGAATATATCTTGAAGCACTCTCTCCACTCTCTCATGGAGCTTATACTCTGCAAGCTCTTCAGAAATGAATGGCACTTTTGAACTGCTGAGTATGATAAAATATCATAGGTGTTGAATGTTTTGTTTCATGGAAACTCAGAATATGTGCACCAAAATAACAGTACTTTAGCCAGAGGTTTGACATGACTGACTACATATTTTAGAAAACTATTCTTACTCTGTTTAAAACCAGAATGTTTGACTTACCCATGTACAAATGAGTAGACTTTACAAGCATAATTAAATTCGACCAGCTTCAGCAGCATTATGAAGTTATCAGAAATAAGTTGTTTAGAAAAGCCACAAAAGAGGGCTCTATGTTTATATTTATTATTTCTAAGTTTCTGGTGTTGTGATTTATTTTGAACAACCAAAACCTTAGTGTTTGTGAACTACATTTGTTCTGACCAAAACTTCTGGCTTTTTAGTTAGCACCAAGCAGAGATATGATGACTTCTGATTTTTAAAAAAATTAACTTAGTCATAAAACATCTTGTAGGTGTTGTGATTTACTCTTGGGCTATTTCAGCAGAACTCAGCAGCTTTTGTTTCCAGAATTTACAATATGTTTAACTAGTGATCTTTCTCAGTGAGTTTTAATGGTATATTACAGAGATAAACCAAGATTATATTGACTCACCATTTTTTTTCCTACATTCAACCTTTTGAATTTATGTAGACAATTCTATGTTCAATTTTAAGGTTAACATAACTTTGTGATTCAGGCACCCTTTGCCTTCCACTAGGAAATAGGAGGGAGCCATATCATAGCTTTCTCCATGTCAATCTGGGAATCCAGGTGATAACAGAGAAGATAAAATCAGGGAGGATTGAAAATGCCTCAAGAGTGAAATTAGGTATTTGGAGTGTGCTTTCAGCTTATAGCTGAAAATTAGGTATTTGGAGTGGAAGCAAAATTAGACATGAGGTGTAGCTGAGCAGGAGAGTTTTAGTTGGAGTAATAGAATAGCCAAATAAAAGGGCCACTGAGGAGCAGTTGACCCTCCTAGATGGAGGGACTCTACACTGTAGAGGCTGGGCTCTGGTGGCTGAGATGGCAGGTGCCAAGAACCACCTGTGAGCTATGGTGTAGGGCAAGACACCAAGTACCTAAGAAAATAACCCATAGCAAACAGGGTTGGAATACACGAGATAGAGATTTGAGAACAAGGGAAAAAGCTATGGACACAGCAAAGGTAAAGTATAAGGTACGGCCACAGAATAAAGGCTGGAACCCAGAAATCACAGTGTCAGGGTGCAACCAAGAGTAAATTTGAGCTCCTTCTGTTTTGACTCAGCACTGGACTGATCCCAGGAACTGGAATGGCACGCACCTTATCAGCAAGATGAGCCTGCAGGTTAGAAGGCAGGGATGCCAGATACTTGCTAACATCCTCTGAACTCTGTTTTGAGGCTTGTGCTCTCAGTCCAGCAAGCAAGAATATTCTTCTCAACTTGACTTAGCTCCCCACACTGCTGCTCTGTGTTGGGTAGTGAGAGTGAAGACTGAAGTGTTCAGCTGTCTCAAAACAGTCATGCCCCAGGAAACTACTGAAGCAAGAAGGGCTTGGCTTGCCCTTATAGTCAATGCCTTTCTGACCCCCTTTCCAGTTCGTAGAACTTGCCATATGTAATAAGTCTTCAGAGAAACACAAACACAGTGCTAGCCTTAGAAGTGACTGACAACTTTTAACGGCTCTTTGCCTCCCCAGAGAGGAGAGCTGTTCTACCTTTAGTCTTCTTTTAGCTGCTTCTCTTCTTTGCAACTGTCAGAAGGCATGCCCTGCTAAGATGCTCTTCTAATTCCTACTGCCACTTCCGTCTCCAAAAAAAAAAAAAGAAAAATTTGTAAAGTATCGTATTCTCCCTCTCATTTCTCCCAACACCACAGCTTTCACCACCAAACAGCCTGCATCTCATAACTAAAGTGATTCAATCACAGCTGCAATCATTGGCTGCTCATGGATCTTTATTCTTTTTTTTTTTCTTTTTTTTTTTTTGACTGAGTTTCTGCTCTTGTTGCCCAGGCTGGAGTGCAATGGCATGATCTTGGCTCACCACAACCTCCGCCTCCCGGGTTCAAGTGATTCTCCTGTCTCAGCCTCCCGAGTAGCTGGGATTACAGGCATGCGCCTCCATGCTTGGCTAATTTTGTATTTTTAGTAGAGACGGGGGCTTCTCCATGTTAGTCAGGCTGGTCTCGAACTCCCGACTTCAGGTGATCTGCTCACATTGGCCTCCCAAAATGCTAGGATTACAGGCATGAGCCATCGCACCCAGCCGGATCTTTACTCTTGATTGCACATACAACAAACTTTTGAGATGCCTAAAGTTGCCCAGAATCTGACCTCATGTTTACAAATAACTGTCGAACAACACAATAGATATTTAGTAGAAAGGTTCAGACTAGAAAAATTCAAGAGGCAAACTTCCTTCTTCCTTTCCTTCCCTTCCTTCCCTTCCTCCTCTTCCCCTTCCCCTTCCTTCCTTCCTTTTCTTCCTTCCTCCTTCCTTCCTCCCTCCCTCCCTCCCCCCACTTATACATCCATCTATTCTTCCATTCAGTGTTTAGTTATGTATGCATCATATCCTTAATATCATAAATACTATTAATTCAGTAGTTAATTACTGAGCACAGTTAATTAACAGTTAATTCCAGTTAATTAATTGCCTGGAACTGTTCTAGGCACTGAAGAGATTGAAAAAAAAAAGCATCTGGAAATGGCTCATCAGCCTTCATCTCTAGTTAGGACTTCCCAGTAGCTAGATATGAGTGCATCTAATTGCCTCCGCAGCAGCTCAGATTCAGTAGGCTTACAACTGAACTCATCCTGTTTGCCTTTCAGCAAACTCATAATGTCACTATCTGTTTCAAAAATCTTCAGTGGCTTTACATAAACTACTGAATATAGTCCAAATTTTGCTTAATATTCATGGTCTTCTATATGAATTTTCAGCTATACTTTGTTACTATTTTCTATTACTAATTGCATATATTCCTTGCTCCATTGATGTCACTTAATTTATGCTTTCTGAAACTTTTCTTATGTTGTTTCTGTTGACCCGAATGGTGTGTGTGTGTGTGTGTGTGTGTGTGTGTGTGAGACAGAGAGAGAGAGAGAGAGAAACATATTAGAGAAAAATAAATGTGTTCATGATCTACTCAGTGAGTATATACACTTCAAATATTAGTGAGACTATGATGGAAATTCTAAGTTTACTTTTGTCTTCATCGTAGCTCCCTGTGTCTCTCATGGAGTTAGTATATGAATATACTAATACTGTATTAATATACTAAGACTGACTTTTGCATTAACATGCATGTATTTTTTTTCATATGCCATAGCCCATAAACATAGCCACCCACTCTATTTGGTGCTTGACTGAAGAATCTGTTCTTTGTTCCAGCGACAGAGGAAAATCTAGCCTTAATGGATTCATTAGATCATCATTAATCTGTGAGTAGAACTGTATATTCTGTGCTTTGTGGATTAATTAAAAGATCTTCAGGTGTTACTTTGAATATACACAATTATTACCATCCTCTCCAATCTTACAGCTCAATGCCTGATAAGATATAACTTATGGTGCTATTATTATTTATATATTCCCCATGAAGTTATATCCTCCTCGAGTACAGCATCTGTGACAATAATCCCCCAACCACCTAGTTTGAGCCTTCTACAGCACTGGGGCTTGATACCTAAGGGTTGGATGAATTAATGGCAGGTACTTAAAATGGTGATTGTTGAAGCACAGGAGGATGTACAGGAGGAATATACAGAAACAGGCACTTCGGGGCTTTCTGTTTTGAAGGAAACCTCTAAAGCCTTACTCTATTCAAAACAGAACTTGAATGTCATTTTTTATAAGCACAGGCATGTGCTTGGAGTTGGGAAGAGAAAAGCAGGAAAGAGGAAAGTGATTAGGCTTAAAGATGTACCTGGAACAGAAAATCTTGATTGGAATCTACTATCTAAAGATTAAATTATGCAAAGGAAAAAATTCACGTCAGTTTCAGCAGCATTCAGGAAGTTTCCAATGTGTATTCTAAGAGACAAAACATTTGTCATTAATACCATTTCAGATAACTTTACAATTAAGGTATTAACCTTCTTATGTTAGTATTTTCAAAGCAGCTTGAAGTTTATTGATTTTCTCTGGTACTGGATGATTAATTTCATTCTTTGGGAATCTCATGAAAATTAATCTAAGCCATATACTATAATGCCAGCAGCCGGAATCCATAATGCAATCTTCTTCTGTGTGCTAGTTATCTTTGTTGAATAACCTCATAAGAATATAACTGCTATAAAAAGCCCAGTTCAAAGATCCTTTGGCTTATCACAATTTGTAATTACTTTAGTTGAATTTGTTTTCTTGATTTCTTCTATAGGTCTTTATAAAGAGGTCAGAATCATGAGGACCAGAACCATGATTGCCTTGCTTCCTACAGTATTCCCAAAATCTAAGATAATACTGTCCACAGAGCACAAGGTTTAATGGCAACTTGTTGAATTAATGGATTGATGAACAAGAACTACCTAAGTCAGCTGGTTTGACTTCAACCAAGAAATTTCTCCATTTGCCTTGAGATTCAGCCTCAAAGGACTTGGTCATTCTAAGGAGCAGAAGGCCAGGAAAAATTATCTACATGGCTTGACATGAAACTGAAACAGTTGTAAAACTCAGCCACAATGATTTATTAATGTTCTAAACTGTAATGTATAACTCTGGTAAAAATGTTTAATCTTCCTAAATCTAAATATTTTGTTTACAATTAATTCTCACTCCTGAATGATGTATCTTCGTTTACTCAAAGTGGCTGAGAGTATGTGAGAATGTTGAAGACTAATCATTGAGTAAGAATGCTGAGAGCAGAAGAGGGAGCAATACTCCCAAATCTGACGTTTAAAGGGAAAAATCACATTTAATTCCTAGGGTAGTAAAAGCAACCAGTCACAAAGACGAGGGGAAAACTCTTTGGAAGTTCTTCAATTCTTTTTTTTTTTTCCCGTGAAGCTCAAATTTTACCATAGTAGATAAGGATTTCTGATGGTTTGTGCACTCTGAGTGTGTTACAAATGATAAATCATCATATGGAGAGGGGCACACACATTTTTAAAAAAGGTCATAATGTAATAACATTTGCTATAGAAATGGTTCTTGAGAAGGAAAGGGTTTGGGCTTATTTAGTAACCCATCGTGTCTTCTCTGAGGACGTCCAAGAAGAGAAGGGAGAGGAAGAGAGAGAGAGAAATGACCCAGTAAAGAATCCTTGGAAACATACTAATCAGGCCTCCTGAAGGTATTTACTAGCAGAAAGGTAATGAGACCCTTTTCTGTGGCATCCTTTTTACGGGGTGTATCTAGTCTGTCTAGGTTGCTTACAGCAAATGAATGAAGAACTCCTGGGGTTGTGGGATATGGCCCAGTGGAAAATGTTAGGTCAAAGATATAATTATGGAGCAAACAAATGGAGCTGTTTCGTAACCACAATGGCTTCCTTGTGGAAACGATGGCCTACATGCATCACTTAGAAACCTCAAACATTAAATCTGGACCAGCCCACATCCTCGTGTGGCACAGGATGTGAGGAGCTGCACTAGTGATCGCAGACATTTTTGTGAATTGCCTTTATCATCATCTGCATCCTTTGAATTATTAGGAAAGCTGGATACTTTGTAAGAGCTCTGATTTTTGTGAGTCTGATATGGCAGTCTGGTTCCTTGTGTTATCTGAGGTCTGGAAATGATTTTCAATGAATAGTAGGCATTCTTCCAGATAAGACATGGATTTTGGTAGAAAGTCAATGCAATATTTCCTCCACAATGGTAAACCGGAGGTACTCATTGCAAAGAGCATTGGGACATCAGTAATTCCCTTGTTTTATTCAGAATGTCTAAAGTTTCTCTCATTAAACAATATGCTCAGAGAAACTGTCTTATGGGATTCAGACAATTTTGAGTTGTCTGGAGAAACAGGCTGCAGAAATGAAGGGAATTTAAAATGGATTACTATTTTTACATTGAACATAATTTCTTTTTATAAAATAATTTTATGTCTATCAGTAACAACCTGGATCTAATCAGATAGAAAGGTTTACGCATGGGAGGAGGGACTGAATTGTCCTTAGGAACAGTAAGTGGATGTAAATGTCAAAGAAAAACAATAATAATTTGTACTTTCTCTTTAAGCCTTCATGAAAAGCTTATTATATAGAAAACAATAAATAAGGTAATAAAATATACCTTATTACCTTGAGAGATTGAACGGGAAACTAAGAAGAATTCCTTTCTGGAAGGAAATCTAAAGAAAAAGAATAGCATTGTTCTTCAGAATAACCTGAAGCAAATGCCCATGGCTGCTAGAAGTAAAATTTTATTTATTTATTTACTTACTTACTTATTTTTTGAGACAGTGTCTCACTCTGTTACCCAGGCTGGAGTACAGTGGAGCAATCTGGGCTCACTGCAATCTCTGCCTCCTGGGCTCAAGTGATCCTCTCACCTCAGCCCCGCAAGTAGCTGGGCCCACAGTCATACACCACCATGCCCAGCTAATTTTTGTATTTTTTTGTAGAGATGGGGTTTCACCATGTTGCCCAGGCTGGTCTAGAACTCCTGAGCTCAAGCTATCTGCCTGCCTCAGCCTCCCAAAGTGCTGGTATTACAGGCCTGAGCCACCATGTCCAGTCATAAGATATTTAATTAACTTACTGAAAACCAAGGTCAAGGATCCTTACTACGTCACCTCTCCCTACCCCAACTGTCACAGCTGAACTAGCTTTGGCCAGGATATTTGGCTCTTCCTTGATGTTCAGGGCATCAGAAACTAAACCAGAGCTTAGGGGAGAGAAAGCAGTAGGAATGTCCTCTCATTGCCTGGCATGATGGCTGCCATGAACTTCTTGGAACTAAAGAAAAGAGAGTGTGACATTATCAGTAATCTTTTAAGAGATACATTTTCGGTGAGATAAGTAAAACAGTTAACAGGTGTCCCAATTTTTCGAGAAACAGACTTTTAGCTGATGTTAGGAGAATTAAATTTCCTCACCACAACTAAATTGTGCCTTTGTGCCAGTTTTGTAATTAAATTGCTGAATCTTAGCAGCTAGGTATTTCCTGAAATCTTACAGCGAAGAATTTTGCTTCTTTTCCGTGTTTGATTCGTTTTCAATTTTACTTGACATATTCTAAGAGACTTTGAAGGTGTAAATAAATTCCCTATTTTTCTTTCATCACAGTTTTTCTATTTCCTAATTATTTGAAGCAAATCTATCTTTCCAGAGTTGCATGTTTGTTTTTCAGTGGGCCTTCCTGATAAAGTGCTACGTATGTACTTCAAGAACAGATAGCTAAAGACAATAATCCTATTACATCTATGTAATCAAGACGGCAACTTGCTGTCTTGTTTCTTATCAAAGAATTACATTTGCCATATGTTCATAAGTTAGCTTTTGATTGTTTACAATATGTGACTGAACCCAGCTCTTGGTCCATCAGGTATAATTATTAAGATCCAGGCTAAGATTTTTACCTGAAGCTCTAAGGAAACCAACTATGGAGTATGTCTAGAAACACAAGAGCCAACTGAGAGAAATAAGAGTAGAAAATTTAAATTTGCTTACGTTAAAAAAAAAGAACAAAAACAACAATTCATGATTATCCAGTGCTAATGTAGGCATTAGTTTTTTATTTTATTTACATGGAAGGAGGTGGAAATTAAGGTACAAGTCAAGCCTATAAGACTTCAAGTCTTACAGGTTTAGGACAGGCCATGAAGCACCTGTAGATCTGAAATGACTTGGAGGAGCTACAGAGAAGGCAGCCATCCATCAGGCTTTGGAACTCTAAACAACATCAGAATGCAAATTTCCTTCTGCCTGGAATTTTGTTTCTTTGAATACTTTAAGGAAACAGCTTATTCAGAAAAAAGCGTTCTTTAAAATGAGTGAAAAACATAAGAAAAGAAAAATAGTGCAATCTCTCAGAAAATGTCAGGCAAGCAAAGAGTTAGGAGTGGAAGAACAAATGACTATTTGGGCAGAGGATTGGTGCCTGACTGTCCCAAAGCAGCTGCCATCATTACAAGTCCCTTGGCAGCCAGTTTGCAGGGGGCAAGAGGAAGGTACCCTTATGTCCCCTTGCTTGTGTCCATTCTCAAATATTAAAAACAGGTAGGGTGACATTATTCCATCGGTCTCAAAGTTAACATTTGCATTTTTTCAGAGGTTATTCAACCAGAGGTTTAATAACTTGTTTTCATGCTACAACTATCTGACTATTTAAATAATCATCTTCCTCCCTCCAAGTCTAACAGACAGACTGACTTAAGTATTCTGGAACTTTAATGTTCTGTAGCTAACTCTGATAAAGACACTAAAGGGAGGATGCCAAAGAGACTTGGATCCAGAATCCTATTCTGATGAAGGGTTTATTTCTTTGGAGCAATAAAAACTCATGATTTGATGGAATTGCCCTGAAAGGTTAATTTCTAGAAAATGATTTCCTGCCTACAGTTATAATACTGATGTCTTAGAGGAAGGAGTCCCTTCTAGAAGCATCTTTCATTTTTTTAATATTGAAAGAACTTTGTATTATTCAAAGTAGTATTTTTTTCTTAAAAGTTCCCCTTCAGGATTACTTTTTAAATCTGTTTTTAATGATGATTAATTCACTCACTTCTCAGCTTTTTTTCAATGTCCTTAGACCATGATTAACTTTGGCACTGTGACAAAACATCGGCTATCCTAATCCTTATTATGCAAGAGTGCCAGCTGCACAGTGACAAGTGACTTTCTGCTACTGTCTGTGTGACTTTGGTCAAGATGTCTACACAAATGCAATCATTGATACATTGCTGTTAGCTGGTTATTACCTTGCAAATACCAAAGAGTAACTACAAGACTTGCTATCATTTCCTTATTGAAAATATTCCTTTATCAGTGGGGAAAAAAAAGCTGTAGTCAGAAAACATATTTGTTAGCATGGCTAAGACTACCAAAAGAATTCCATATGTTTAGACAGGTTTGCCTTTATATCAAGCTCAATATTTTAGAACTATCAGCAAGCACACCTATATCTGAAAATTATATTTCAGAACAAAATTCTTGATCTAGAGAACAATCACGTTTTGAAATTGGATGTTGCTTTTGTGTGTCATTGTTATGAAGCTAATATTGTCCCAAGTAATACCATACTGCTAGAGGCTGTGTTTACTTAGCTGTCCCCAAAAGAGTTGGGAAGTTAAAAAGAAAAATAAATACTGTGAAGCGACTCTTCAGTGACTAACAAGTCTCCTTCGGGAGAATGAACTATAAAACTTCATCAAGTTCACTAAATCTACTCCCTACAAACTTTGTATATAAGCCACTCTAACCAGGACTTTTGACATAATTTGAAGGGTCGAGTGGAAAATGAAAACGTGAGGCTCCTTGTTTAAAATTTCTAGAAATCCCAAGATGGCAACAGCACAGCACTAAACCAGATGTGGGATCTTTCTAAGCATAGGAACCAGTGCGAACTGGATGGCTACGAAGCTGGCCCTGGCTTTAACCGTAATACTACTGTTTGCTATCAATATTATTATGATTAATTATTATTTTGAGACAGGGTCTCTCTCTGTCGCCCAGGCTGGGGTGCAGTGGCATGATTTTGGCTCTCTGCAACCTCCACCTCTCGGGTTCAGCAATTCTCCTGCCTCTGCCTTCCAAGTAGCTGAGACTACAGACTTGTGCCATCATGCCTGGCTAATTTTTGTATTTTCAGTAGACATGGGTTTTCCATATTGAGCAGGTTGGTCTCAAACTCCTGGCTTCAAGTGATCCGCCTGCCTTGGCATCCCAAAGTGCTGGGATTACAGGCATGAGCCACTGCGCCTGGCTGCTATTAACGCTGGTGGATCTTTTGAGAACAGAACCGAACAGTAAACATTTGAAATGTGACAAATTATCTAGGAATATGCTTTTTTGTTTTTGTTCTTCAAATCTACCTCATGTCTGACACCCCTACAGAGGTGATGCCCAGGAAGATCAGTGCCCCAAGTCACTATGCTAAAGTCTCCCTGACACTTCTTATCACTCATACACTTAAGCTGTCACCATCCAAGTTAGCAGGGTTAATTTTTCTGCCTGAGGTCACAACTCCCTGCTACTTCTCATTTTTCACCCGATTTACTACATGTGTAGGCATCTATTTAGAGTTTACAACCTTGAATTTTATGTAAAGATCTCAGGGAACATAAAAATCAATAGATAATGGCAATTGACGTTAATTTATTACCTTCTATTGTCTGTCTCTCTGTGTTTATGCCTAAACAGTGTTTTGATTTTTAAAAAACTTTTTATTACGAAAATTTCTAAGCATGCAAAAGAGTTGAAAATATAGTCCACATGGATCCGTCACTAAGCCTCATAAACATTATTTGTTTTGCCATTTTTTTTCATTTATTCCTGTCTATTCTCCCTGCTCCCATTTTATTTTGGCTGGGATACCTTCAATAAAACTTCAAATATCAAGTTATTTACTCAAATTCTTCAATATGAATTAAAATTTTTTTTCTTATGTAATACAATGCATTATTTCTTTTACTAAAATTAGTTTTAAAAACCCATATTCTCATCTA
The DNA here is from genome assembly GCF_000001405.40 of Homo sapiens. Lineage (NCBI taxonomy): Eukaryota > Metazoa > Chordata > Mammalia > Primates > Hominidae > Homo > Homo sapiens. Next base: position 147,754,632 of record NC_000007.14, on the reverse strand, counting down.
ATACATGATTCATATTCAAACATCCCCTAATGTCTAAACAATATTTTTAATAGTTTGTTTGAATCAGGATCCAAAAATGTTTCCCTCATTGCATTAGTTTTTACATATCCCTTGTTTCTTGAAAGCAGTAACAGAACTACACCTTTACCTTTTAATTTGTTTTTAAAAATTTGTTTCACTGCAAGTTACAAAATGATGCTTTCCTATTTCTACCATTTCTCCTGTTTGAAAACTTCACTGATATCTTAAGTTCTTTTGGTTAGTCCAAAGAACAATTTCTACTAAAAGGACAGAATACAAGCTTACTCTTCCCTGTAACTATCAAGTTTAAGATGATGATGAATTGGTGCCTTAGCAGCTTCCAAAAGTGTCTAGTACATTTTGCTTCATTGCTCCAAATTTTTAAAACCTTTTTTGAGTGTTATTATGAAATGATGGAGCGATAATTTGTTTTAATCAGTTGCAGCCATTATTCTTTTTGATTTTCAATTTGTCTCATCCTGTGTCTGCAGGAGCCTCTTTAATCTGGCTTCTAGGTCTTTTATTTTTATTTTTTTTAGATGACACCATTTGCCTCAGTATTGTATTTAGAGCTGAAACGAGGGCTGCAGTGGTACTTAGGGCTGCAGGGTTGCCAATGCTTTCAGACAACGGACACAGCTTAAAAGTGAGGGACAAAAGCCTGAGTTCACACTGATGTTATGTTTCCTATTCTTTTAAAAGTTTGTTTTTTGAATATATATTAATCCACGTTAACCATTACTTTCTGACCTTAGATTTCCCTCAAAGTTCTAATTATTGAGCAGTAAAGCCACTTCTGTCTCCTAATTCATCCTTTAGTTTGTACGAAGCCTCTTTGTCACTCAGCCTTCAGGTTGTCAAGTCCCTAAATTCCATGTAGTGAATTGTGCGACCTTCATCTCTTTTGCAAAGTCCTGAGTGAATGTCAAGAAGAGACTTCTCTTGTCCCCATTACCGAATTATTTTTCATGCTTTTTGATCTGTTTTATCTTTAAGATAATCTAAATTTTTTCCAAATTTCTTCGATTTCTGTGTCATAAGTACATAGACATGGCAATTAACTCATCAACATTTCTAGTTCTAATTATTCTTATAGTACATTTACATAATTTATTTTAATTGCATCCATCATAATCGAGTTGTGGTGATTTAGTCTGCGTATAATTTTTAGTACAGGGGAATGCCTCCACAATTATTCAGGTTATTAACAGTCATTGCTTCAGAGCTGAGATAAATTCTAAGTGACTAGGGCCTCAGAAAGAGAGTATTTCACACAAACTAATTCAGCTGCATGGGAATTAGGCGCTGTGCATAGTGACAGGTAGAGTCTCAGAATTAGTTTCAGTCTATTAGAAAAGCTATCCAAGAAAAATTCCAAGGAGCCTGCCCTTGTCTTACTTGATTATGCCAGTCTTCTTCTCTGATGGGTAATCAGCTTTACATTCAGTTCAAAATAGAAATAAATTAAAGACTAGGTTCAAATCACAGAAGAGAAAGAACCTCTATGTATAATGGATTATGTTTCCAGATAACAGGAGCATTCTGACGCTTCAAGATAGGTATATAAGAGAGTAGAAAATAGGATCAGCTTTTTTCAGTAAACACTACATTTATCATAGTAGCTAAAAGAGAAATTGGTCCAGTTGAATCAAAACTGGACAGCAGGATACGAATGCAGTGAATTCTGCTCTACAGAAATTGGAAGGAGGTTTTCCTTTTTTTGCTATTCCATGCCATGCCCTCTGACTGTTTTCCATGACACAAAAACACCAGTATAGCAAAATACTATTCAAAATAATGTGGCATTTAAACTCTTTAAATTAGGAAGTAAATTCTGGCAAATAATTTGATCCCAGGAAATGTAACATTTATAAAGGCATGGCTCATGACGCTATGATCACATCTGGAATTGGACTGCTATGAAAACTGACCTCAGCGACCAGTTTAATTACAAAGCAGCCTGCCACAACTTCAAATATCTACCTTTTCAAAACCCAGGTGGACATTGAGAGCTCATTTTTCCACCTCTTATTTTCTAGAGCTTCCAGATGAATTGTCTGCCTTATGCAATTATCAAAGGCCCCTTCCTGTACACACACAGGAGCTCACCGTATTGACCAGGCTCCTGGTTGAATGAACGACGGTTCCATTTTCATGAAAGAAATAGGAAAAGGACCCAACACTGCCTGTCACTATTCAACTCGTTCGTCTGTCATCACAGCTTCTAATGGGAGTGCTTTATCTTAGTCTTTCAGATCCTCTATAATCTGTAGAGAAAAAAAATGGTTCAGGGAAAATACCTTGAAGGTTACCCTTCAGAAAAAAAGTGTGGCCCCAAACAGGTTTTCTTGCACAGAACAAATTACTATACATTCTGAAAGTATCCCTTGTTATGTGAGTCAATAATATGTTCCTTCTGTTCAATTAAAAAGGAAGTCAGTTACGTATCTGTATCAAAGAAACCGATTGTAGAGAACATCGTCTGGTGTTCATTAGACTCATCAGTTAGATAAGTAATTTTATATTTTCTCACATGCTCCACAGTAGTCACTGTGACCTTCATTACATAGCAATAGCTCAATATGTCAGGAACTGTGGATGACATATTGCTAATCAGAAGAACCTGTGTGTAGATTCCAGCTCGATTGCTTCCAACCGTGGATTTGTATATGCACTTAACCTCTCTGGTCTTGATTTTCTCCTGTAAGTAAATAGGAATAACATCATCCCAGCAGTCAAGTGTAAGGATTAAATGAGGTAATACAGGTAACCCCTAAGCATAGTAACTAGTATAATGCAGGTACCTAAGAGGATGTATTTTTCTTAGTATTTTTGTAGTAAAATGAGAAAAGGAAAAATAATTAGAGAAATATCCAAGTTCGGGGCTGTGATTATCATAGGCTGTGTATATTTTTGATGTCGTCATTCGAACTTATTAAAGAATCAACACATACTCAGCTATTGTGTAGCACAAAATGGACAGCTCGTGTTTGCACACATTTCATCCCCTTTTATTCTGGCTCTTGATCTTGGTGTTAAGGGACGATGATTGCCTCTCATGATTCAAATTTAAGAGTTATAGCAATAAAATCTCAGTAACCTATGGCATACTTATCTGAAACTTTATGAAATCTATTTATATCTTGAGCTTGAACAAACTTTCCAGATCATAAATTCTCTATAATTTTAAAGACTAATTTCCTTTTTTTTTTTTTAACTAAATTCATCCTTTGAAGATTCACGTCAACCACCTAATTCCTCCACTTATCTCTGAATAAATACTTAGTCCAAGGCTAGTATTTTGAGATTTGGTTAAAACCACCTACTAGCAACTAAATAAATAAATACATCAGTTTTCGGATCATTTTATGTTCTTAAAAGTACAGAAGGTTTCAGATAATTATTTTATAATTGGAAATAAAAAGAAAATAAAAGACAGGATCTGGGAGATCATGAGGTTTGCCCAAGGTCACACAGCTAATTGTGGCAGAACTTCTAGCCTTTTTCTTCAAAGCCTGGAAATTTTTTTTAATTTATTTTATTTATTATTATTATTTTTATTTTTTATTTTTGAGACGGAGTCTCGCTGTGTCCCCCGGGCTGGAGTGCAGTGGTGCGATCTCGGCTCACTGCAAGCTCCGCCTCTCGGGTTCACGCCATTCTGCTGCCTCAGCCTCCTGAGTAGCTGGGACTTCAGGCGCCCACCACCATGCCCAGCCAAATGTTTTTGTATTTTTAGTAGAGACAGGGTTTCACCATGTTAGCCAGGATGGTCTGGATCTCCTGACCTCGTGATCTACCCGCCTTGGCCTCCCAAACTGCCAGGATTACAGGCATGAGCCGCCGCACCCAGCCAAAGCCTGGAATTTTCTAATTGTTGTAGCCTAAGCTCATTGCTGGTTCCTTTTGCCCAGGATCATTTTAGCTGATAGCAGGCACTTGAACAAAAATTAGTAAAACAAAAATATATGAACAAAAATTAGTAGACCTTGTTCTCATGCTATCCTGAAGCAATCTGGCATCATGGCTTTGGGAAAGTCACCTATGAAGTACAGACCTTTCTAAAGAAGTTCTTACATAATTTGACTTTTTTAAAAAGTAAATGCAATTATTAACTTTTTTATGATCATACAGATAATAAATACTTATAGAGAAAATTCAAGCAATAGAGAAAAATATAAAGAGGAAAGCAAAAACCACCCAATGTTCTCCAAATGAGAAATAATCCAATTCATATTTTGATTAATGTTATTCTGGATCTCTATGCAGACATACACATATATAATTTTATGTAAATGGGATATTCTTAGCCATGCTATTTGATAGCTTGTTCACATCAACATTTTTTCCATTTAATAAAAATTATAAAAATTTTGACATTAGAACTTGGTAAGGTTTTTCTATGTAAAATCCAACTTAATGCTCAAAATAAATTTTACGGAACTCAGTCACAGACAAGATATTTGTGCAAGGGCACAAGGCTGGTATTTGGTGGGCTGGGGTGGAACAAGATTTCAATACAGCCAACTTTAACTCAAGGCATTCCTTTATAATGGCTGTATTGCATCCACTGAATGAATATCTAGGATCTATTTTAAATAAATAGAGATGGGTAATGAAATAACTTTAAGATTTCTGATACTATAAAGATCTCATTGATAAATATCAAATATATTTGTGTGTATTTGATCAAACATCTCCTTGGATATAATTCCAAATAAATAATTTTGGGGTTAAGATGTACATCTCTTCAATTGCCAGATGAAATACTATGCTTTTATAGAAGAGTCATTTCTCTACATCCTCAACAATGAGTGTTACTGATATTAAAATAAGCAGAGATTTACTTCATTAACACAGACTCTCTCTTTTGGCTTTGTAATGCAGAATTAAAAACATATACTTGCTATGGCCCATTCTTTAAAATTTAATAAATGTTTACTAGGTGATTTTAAGAGTAGATATTGTGGGGGAAACAAGAATGCTTGCTTCATATATCTCACAATATAATAGCTGAAAAATCATCATTTTTGGGAAACAGTAAGGATCGTTCCACATATTGCTGGTAAAAATAGTAATATTATGGATAGAAATGCTACAACACACACCAAAATCTTTTATATGTTCATATCTATGACTCAGTAATTTAACTAGTTGGATTCAATTTTCAGAAAATGACGAGATGTGCTGTCAAAATATTTATTTTAATATTACCTATGAAAGTAAAAAATGGGAAACTTAAATATGTAAAACAGACATTGATTATGGACTACGACACATCCATTAGATGAGCTGTTATTTAGCCATTAAAACTTTTGTAACTTTTGTAGACTGCTTTAATCATATGCCAAAATGTTCTCAATATTTTAAACAAAAATACAGTATAGATACTGAATAATTCTGATTCATAAACACATATTTGTATACAATGCAAGAAAAATTTGCCAAACACATTTATGGTGGTTAGATTACATATTTTTATTTTATTCTTTTGACTTTTATCATTCTTTCCCCCCAAATATTGTATAACCAATTGCATTTGTTTTATGCAAAAACTAAAAACCTACTTCATATTTCATCTTTGTCCAATCGTTGACAGAGATCTCAGAACCTAAAAGGTTCCACTTAATTCTCACTCATTGTCAGTCCTATAAACCACGTAGATGACTTATGTCTTGTTCAGATCCCTACATGCAGATCTGTAGGAAATGTTTCCTCTGGTCCCCTTCCTTTTTGTTTCAGTCTGCCTAGCACCTTTCCCTATTCCCCCTAATTCTAGTAGAACTTCTCATCAGGTGAGCCTGCCTGCCATCACACAGAATATTCCATCTTGTAGACACACTATTTAGTCCAGGAAGTGGCATGGGACCCAAGATGGGCCCATCAGAGCCCTTTGGATGTAGAGAAATTTAGGTTCAGGAGCCCTGAGTTCAAGGGAGGCATGCTGGTAACATGTTTGCACAAGAATGTAGCATAAAGACAAGAAAGACAGGTAGACCTGAGGTGCAGGGAGAAAAACATGCTCCTAATGGCATCTTGTGAATCCTTGGATATACTCGTGCCTGAAACTAGTGCCAGTCTAAAGACTTCTTAATTTTATGAAACCTAAAATTTCCTTTTTCTTTAAGCAAGTTTGAGTTGCGGTTCTGTCACTTATCATTAAGTGTACCAATAAAGGGTCCAATCAAAGGGGGTGTCTTGGACTTACCTTTCAACTCTCATATGCTATGCAGCACACTTTTCATTCATCACATCTTAATGTGCATGATCAGAAAAAAAAACAATTTTAACTCATGTTCAGTAAGTATCTCACTCCATTGACCTTGGAGTGACTTAAGACTCTATTTTGTATATCTTTACTTCAAAAAACTTCTAATGTACAACTTAACCCATGAATCTTTCTTAAACATCATTGAGTTCAAAGTTCTGACTAGTTTTTCTTAGCTTGTTGTCAAGGTCATTTGCATTTATATCTCCATCCTTCCCACATACCTTGATGCACTCTGCAAGATAAATGAGAGTGTTCTTTTCTATCTTGCAAATCATTAGATCTGATTATGGTTCTTAAAAGGAAAAGCATTCAGCATGGGAGCATGCTAGGCGGGTGATTGACTGCTGACGCCTCACTTGCTGTTCTTCCATTTTAGGAATGCACTGGCAAGGCCAGGGTCACACAGTGCAAGATAAGCTTCATCTCAAAATGGGCAGGATGGCTCAACACAGTAATTAATTGCTCTCAAGGAAATCTCCTTAAAGCCACTGCAGACTTTAAGTTGTCCCAGACTGATTAGAAAAGGGTCATAATATTGTAATTAAGTTGTCAATCACACAAGAAATAAATTTGTATGGGGACAAATACTGATGGGGATATGGGCAAGGGGAAACGATCAAACAGTGTTAGTGGGAATGGAAAGTAGTACAGCCATTATGGAAAATAGAATGGAAGTTTCTCAAAAAACTAAAACTAGAACTATCATAGGATCCAGCAATCTCACTGCTGGGTATACATGCAAAAGAAAAGAAATCAGTATATTGAAGAGATATCTGTACTCCCATGTTTATTGCAGCACTGTTCACAATAGCAAAGATATGGAAGTAACCTAAGTGTCCATCAATGGATGAATGGATAACAAAAATGTAGTGTATATATGCAAGAGAATATTACTCAGCCATAAAAAAAGAATAGAAATACAATTTGGTAAGAAAATTTTGGAGTATGTATGGAGTAGAGTTCAATCAACTTGGAATCCTAAAAACACTTGTGGTTTCAAACACAAAAAGAAAGAAGAAAGATGAAGAGATGCCAGTCTGATGTGATTGAGAGTGGAAGGAAAGGACTGATGAGAAAAATCATCAAAACCAAGACACAAAGGAGGACATGATTGAAGGAGGAAGACTCCTAGATGTGCTAATCGAGATGAAAAAATTAGTTTCAGAGGAACTGAGGAGGACTTTGTATTTCTGACATAGATAAGAGGCGGTCGGTGAGTTCATGTGGATAGAATTAACAGAATGCTGTATTATTGAGTTTCAGTTGGAAGTAAATAGGATATTTGCAACCAAAAGCCAAATGTGACCCTTTCTTGTAGAACACACAGCACAATTTCTCCACAGCTCTACTTGCATACCTTTATATCTCAGCTAGGGCCTGAGGTGGAAACTAAACTGAACTAGCAAAATAAAAGAGAGATCTGTGGCCCTAAAGCCCAAGGCATCATTAACTAGAAGGAAAATAAAATAGTGTGGGCTTTGAAGATCTTCATGGCATATTATGTTATTCTCAGAGAGTGTGGTAAAACTGTGCACATTTCATGTGTCTGGTCTATAAGCAGTTTGTAGAACGGAGTTCTCTCACCCTTACCAAAATGCGTGTATTTTAAGGCAGCAGTCAGGGTTGGGGTGGTAACCACAGCAGTGATGGGAGAAAACAATTGGTCCCATTGGTGTCAATGAGAACTCCTGCCTTATTCTTTCCTTTGGTGGCCAAGAAAGCTTCCCCAGGGAAGTAGCATGGGATAACTAGGAAAACCTTGTAGGTGGTACAAGCAGAGGAACTGGGAGCAGGTTTTTGTGTCGTGATGGGGTAGAAGGGAGAAAGGTAGCAGGTAGGGAAGATTTTATTGATCACGACTTATAAATATTTCGTCCTCGTCCCAGCGGAAGACGTGTGAGACTGGCTTGCCCAACTGTGCTCCGTCTGTGTGATTCATTCGTTCCTTCAGTAAATATTTATGGACTGTCTCTACTAGAAGGGGCACAAGAAAGAAAAAGCTGAGTTTTGCTGCTTGATTCTCCCCTGTGTTCAAGCCCAGCATCAGTTTCAGCTGTTGGTAAATCTGGTATCTTTCAATCAGTAGAGCAAACAGATTGGGGATCAGAGAGTTTTTCTAACAATTTCAGATCCTCTTCTGCTTTATCCCAAGTTTTAATCATTGTCACTACTATAGACCTGCAGGGAGTTTGTTATTCTCCCACAGAAGGAAGCACGTAAAGGTAAAATGTGCAAGATATGCACTTCATCAGTGCTATTTACACACAGAACCTGCATATTTGACCCTGTGTGCTTTTATTCTGTTTCCCCAGAGAATGGGCATGATTTCTTTATTGTGGTTTTCCTTGTGTTAAACAATTATACAGATTACACCCCATGAAAAAGAAGTTCATTGAATATATTATTCTTATCTACACATCTCTAGCTATAGATTTTAAAGATTCCTGTACTTGGAAACTATAAAAGTGATTATGTTCAAAATGAAAAGGATCTTAACAATTTTAGTTTAGTAGAAAAGAATGATTGCGCTTGTGAAGACTCCTGAATTGATTCATTGCATGCCCCTGACCTCCTTTACGTTACAGATGTCCTCTATGCAGACAAGTTTTAGTTCGACTAGTAGAGAAAGAGCATTTTGTTTTAAATCTTTTTACCAAGTAATGCTGACTTCATTATAGTCACATTTCTCGATTGGTTATAAAGAAATATATTCTGGCTATCTGAAATTAAGAACTGAATGAAAATCGCATTACAGTTTCATGTTAAGACATCGTGTAATTGGAATAAAGCAACACACACTATGGAATTTCAAGAAAAGGAGAATTCAGTCTTCTGCTAAAGATGTTTATGATTGGGGTTGGTTGATGGTTGACAGGGATGTGTAGGTTGAAGCTTTCTCTCTTAACATATTCAAAATAGTGTCTAATCAATATGTTGATCATGAAGTCCACATTTTAACATCAATATTCTTTGATATTATGCTACATACTTGAACTGGAGAGGAAGATTGCCTTCCCTGAAATGGTAAAAATATATCAGGCTGAGCTTTTAGCTGAAAGCCAGTGATGAAAATGACAGCATCTTATCCTTGTAGAGCTCTTTTATGTCTTAAAACAACTTTATAAGCATCATTAGGCTTCATTTGATTCAGTCACAGAGAGGCAGAATGACTTGAGAAATTGATTTGCCTAAACTGCAATTTCACTGCAGAAGGAAGATTAGAACACAAACAACCTGATTCTCAGTCCAAGATCTTTGAGTTAGAGTACCAACATAGTATTCTTTTTTTTCTCTCAGAAATGTTTTTATGTTAACTTATGTAGGTTATGGTTCACCTAAAAACTTGAACTAGGTGTCCCTTGATCTTCTATTTTTCTGGTTCTTTGGTTAGATAGTGTTATGAACAGGATTATGTCCCCCAAAATTCACACGTTAAAGCCCTACTCCCCAATTTGGAGGTCTGTATTTGGAGATGGGCCTTTAAGGAGGCAATTACAGTTAAATGAGGTTGGAGGGTGGGGCATGCTCCCTGATAGGATAGTATTGGTGTCCTTAGAAGAGAAAGAGAGCTCTGTCTAGCAGGTGTGCACAGAGGAAAGGCCATATGAGGATACAACAAGAAGGCAGCCGTCAGCAAGCCAGGAAGAGAGCCCTCACCAGAAAACAACCCTGAGGGTACTTTGATCTTGGGCTTCTAGCCTCTAAAACTGTGAGAAAATAAATTTCTGTTGCTTATGCCATCCAATCTTTGTTATTTTATTATGGAAACCCTTGCAAACTCATACAGATGATGTTTTCTCAGAGCAAGAACTAAACTTGTCCTCTGACGTCCTGAACAATTAGTTCAGTCTAGCATAGCATGAAGGAGAGCGCTACATATTTGTTAAAGAAATGAACCACTGGCATATAAAGTTGAATAATGGTACTATTTCTGTAAGTTTAGGATGTGTGTCTTTATCAACCAACAGATGGTTTATGGCCAGGTCAATTGAAAAGTTGATATTTAATAATAATACCAGGAATTCTGCTTATTGAATTAATTTTAAATGTTCTGTAGTTTGTAAAAAGGGGCAGATGGCTCATATACCTTGTAAAAAGGGGCAGATGGCTCATATACCTTCTATTTTAGTAATATTGTTTGTCTGCCTAGAAATTTACCCACTGAAGTTCTTGCTGCATCTCCTAGCCTCAGTGATATCAAATGCTAATCATCAAATTTCTTCAATGGTAATTGTGAATACTTCACTGTATAACACGCCCTGTGCTAAACTCTTTATGGGCATTATCTCATTTAATATTCAAAATAATCTTTTGAGTTAGGCATTAATTAGTATAATTTTTCAAATAAGGAGAATGACAGTTGGAGAGATTACATAACTTGCCCAAGGTCACACAGGTAATAAGGCAGAGGTGGGTTTCGAAACTAGAAGGGTGGGGCTCCAGGGCCCCTAACCAACACTCCACTCCACAGTAGCCATCACCATGGCAAAGACAGGAGGAGACAGTGGGGAGAAGCCACGGAGCTGGGGGAGGAGATAGGGATGGAGATAAACCTGGGACTGAAGAGATGGCTGGCAGTGGAAGAGAGGACTGACGTTAAAACACACGAGAGGTCAGTCTAGCTGCTCAGATGGAAAAAAAAAGTCACAAAAAATATGAGAGGTCAGGAAGGAGAAAATGGCACTCAACTAAGTGGGAGAAGATGAAATCCTAAATCAAGGCAACCGGAATAAAGCAGAAACGCAATTACCAGAGCGTGACTGGACAAGCAGGGTAAGAGTTAGGCGTCCAAACAACCCATAGGTCTTAAGCTTTGGTACCAGGGGAGAACAGTGATAGCATTAATTGGGAAGATAAGGAATGAGTCTGTGAGGAGAAAGAAAGACAAAGCAAATTTGCTTTGGGGCATCCGGTTTTACAGCCTCACCTAATCCCTGCCTTCCAGCACCAGATTTTTTATGACCCTGATCAAAGATGAGCTTCTCTACAATTCACTTACTTAGGGATCTTAATTCCACTCAGTGATAGCCACCTATTTCCCTATTCCAGCTACCATTTGCTATTTGGGAGATTTCGGATACAGGTGTGTTTTCCCAGGAGTGTAACTACGATGCAATCATAGTGGACATCGCATATGACCAGGTAATGGAGGAGCTACTAGGGGCTGGCCCATTCTCGTGTTACTCCTAAATTAAAGCAGCTGACTATCCTATTGGCTTTGACCTTAGTGTATGTTTAAAACTATAGAAGACTGTGAATGTGTTGGGTTTGCAACATTTTGTTAGTATTTTTGATGATAAATTTTATTATAAAAAATTATGACAGCCAGCATAGACTTTTACTGTGTGATGAAACTGAAATTCTCATAGGAGCACACACTGTCCACATTGTCCTCCCAATTTTCAGTTTCTCGAGGCTTCTGACTGTATTGGGACCACATCGAGGATGATTTGCTCTGAAATAAATCCATGAAATTCATTCTTGTATTAAAGCCTATTAGAGAAGTCTCTTTTTTCTCTTGCTCTATCTTTGAAAACGCTGTGTTTGTTTTGCATAAACACACTGTGTCTATTCCTGAGAAGGGGCAAAGTCATAGCCAAGGACTAGTTTAAGATATATTTTCCAAGCTAGTAGGAAAAGATACGTAGAATTCTTAGCTTCACTATTGAAGCTGAATATCCAGAATCCTACTCTACATGAGCGAAACCTTATTCAAAGCCTGATTCTTGGCTCAAAATAGGAGGTATGTTCTGGGAATTTATAGTTGCATTAAAGAGAAGAATATTGCAGAGAAAAGGAAAGAAAGATATGCCTTCTTTGGTACATATGCAGACAACATATGCTCTGACACTTGTGCACATCCTGTCGAAACACTGATAACAGATTCCAAAGGAACAAGGGAGAGAAAGTTAAGAATTAACAAGCAGCTAGGAGAGTGTATGGTGAATCATTATTCAAAGAGCAAATGTACTTGGCTATTATAATAAAAGACAAGATGTTTCAAAGAAGGGAAATTGTAGGCCAATTCATGCATTCAAATGTTTTCAAACATCTATCATGAGCTGGAACAGTGACAAATGTTTTGGATGATCTAAAGATGAACCTTATACGGTTTTGCCATTGATATGGTTTGGCTGTGTCCCTAACCAAATCTCACCTTGAATTCCCATGTGTTGTGAGAGGGACCCAGTGGAAGGTAATTGAATCAGGGGGGCAGGCCTTTCCTGGGCTATTTTTGTGATAGTGAATAAGTCTCACGAGATCTGATGGGTTTATAAAGGGGAGTTTCCCTGCATAAGCTCTCCTCTCTTTGCCTGCACCATCCATGTAAGATGTGACTTGCTCCTCCTTGCCTTCCACCATGATTGTGAGGCCTCCCCAGCCACGTGAAATTGTAAGTCCAATAAATATCTTTCCTTTGTAAATTGCCCAGTCTCTGGTACGTCTTTATCAGCAGCATGAGAATGGACTAATACAGCCATCAAGATAATAATAACATAAAATAGGATGGAATCAGTACTGTAGAGACATTTAAACAACATGTTATGAGGAGCACAAAGGAATGGAGAGATTAACTTAGATTAATATCATGAATTCTAATAACAAAAAACTTTTTTGAGGGGGTAGCTTTACTGTTATACTCCAGGGTTATTTCAAAATAACTGAACATCTGGCTATCTCAGGAATGACACTCCAGTGGTAGTATACTACTGCTATACTTTTATTTTTATGCTACACAACTTAATACAAAAGTATGTATAAACCATGAGTCAAAGGTTTCCTGAAGAAAGAGTTGTTTATTAACTTCTGGTTAAACTCTTGTTTCAAGAAACTTAACATTTTTCACATATTTTATTTCCATATTATGGAAAATTATTTGCTTCTTATGCCAGCATAGAAGATAACTCTTAATTTAATATTCTTTCAAGATCTCATGTAAGCAAAAGAGGTCATGGATTAAACTGCAACCCAGCAGCAAATTGTCTTTTACAGGACCCATTTTATTTGACTTTATATTCCTGGTGACATTGCCCTTTGTGGTCAGGCAAGTACATGAAGCCAGTGTTTAAAATGACACATAGATCCCTTATCTGGACCTGAAGAATAGCTCAAGGTCCATCTAGTCATGCACTTACATAGCAGACAGTGCTGCGGCCAGTGCTGTAATGACCCAAATCTCTTCCCATCTCTTCTAAACAGTTCTGAAAACCTGAACCCTTGGAAAGCTTCCAATGGCCATCATCTGTGATATTCTTTGGCAGACTTCTCTTTGCCTTCCAGAGCCTCCAGGAGCCAGAAGTGCCTGAGGACTGCCATCTTCCACACATGCTGGTAACCAATGACCATTGGGGGTGGGAAAATGGCAGTCTAGCTTTTTCTCCTCCAGTTGGGAAAACTCTGACACTCCTGAGGACACCTGAGGGACTGGCTGAGATCTACGCCCTGAGCTTGAGGACTTCTGCCTGGGCCCTCCCTCTTGCTCCCCTTCGACTCCTTCCCTGTCCTGCTTCCATTGTTTCCTTAGCACACTCCCTTTCATAAATTCCTTGCACACAAATCAAATCCTCATCTCTAGATCTGCTTCTAGGGAAGTTTATTTAAGAAGTATGGTTTCCTTATTTAATAATATGGTTGACATTTTGCTACTTCCAAAAACAATTTGAGGAAGTGACTGATGATATTTTCCCCTAAATTCACATGCTTTACTCATCTACAAAGTGAATGACAAGTTTCTTCCTATTCATAAACCCTACCTTGGACTAACTGAACCTTAACCCGATCAACTTAACAATGCATTCTTTATAGAGAAAAGCTCAGAGAGTCCAGTCTTTGTTACATCTGACAATTTTTTTATAAGATTATTTAATGAGGTAATTTCTCGCACCAAGCCTCAGTGGGTTTGTTGGGCAGTGTCAGCGAACGAGCTGTAGCAGGGTGAGGCATTGCTACACAAATGTGTTTCTCTACCTAAACATCTATTTTTACTATTTTTGGGGGCCCAATTCCAAAATGACAATATTTAGAAACACTTTTGAGTTTGAAATTCAATAAAAACAATTTGATATCTAAATTTAAATGCTTGCTGCACATATCACACTCTTAGAAAATGTTTTGAAAATCCTTGCATATTACCAAAGTAGAATCAGAATGATTTTAACCTGCGAAGCAATAACTCACATAGGAGCTAACCTAATTAATGTATTTCTCTGACCCACAAGTGGACTATGGGACTAAACTAAACCTGAAGCCAGCCCCTCTGTGGATGCCTGGAGAAAGACAGCATTCCCACAGCCCCCTCAGCTCTGCAGAGATGCCAGTCAAAGCTACACAGACACCTGGAGTTGTGGGCAGAGAAAGCTGTAAGACTATGTGAAGGATGGCCAGCCTTGGGCAATGTGGTAGATTGAGTCAACACAGTGCTCCCAGCAGGCCTCAAATCCAAAAATGCTGAAATCAGTATTCAATAGATATGTAATATACTTAAGTTTTATATTTAATTCAGCATTTATATATATATGAAATATATAAATACATGAAATACATATATATATTTCATTGATGATATTGATGATACATTTTATTATAGAAATGTATGAGAGCCAGCATAGACTTTTACTGTATGATGAAATGGAAATTCTCATAGGAACACACACTATCCACATTTTCCTTCCAATTTTCAGCTTCTCAAGGCTTCTGACTGTATTGGGACTGTATCTAGGATGATTTTCTCTGAAATAAATCATATAATGGGGGTATATGTGTGTGTGCCTCAAACCATTAGACTCACCTTTCCATAAGAACCCTGAAAATTCCTATTTTAGTTTCAAGGCTGATAGGGCCAAGACAAGATATGGAATTCCTAGCAGTAGAAACTCACTGTTTTTATTCAACATGTCAATAGCTTATATCTTATTTTTCTACTTAGACTTTGATGAGGGGAAGGTATTAGAAAACTGATACCTGAAGGGAAAGTGAGAATGAACAAGGTTGCTTTAAGGGGGAGAAAAATAGTAAGAAGGGCATTGAGATTAACAGTGAACACACACAAACACACACATACACAATAATGATAATAAAAGCAATTAGATTTGTAAAAGTATAAGGTTTTCTCTTACAGTTTCTTATTTCACTATCACAATAATCCCATGAAATGAGTTGATAAATAGTATTCTCCTATTTAAGAAAAAAAAAAAAAAAACTTCAGAGAGACAAAATGACTTGCAGGAGATTAATAGCTGTAATTGAATGCAAAGTAGAACTCTGACAGGTACAGGCATATCTTGGAGATATCGTACACTTGGTTCAAGACTGCCAGAATAAAGTGAATACTACAAAACAGTCACAGGAATTTTTTGGTTTCCTAGTATATATAAAAGTTTTGTTTTGCCCGGGCGCAGTGGCTCACACCTGTAATTCCAGCACTTTGGGAGGCCAAGGCAGATGGACCAGTTGAGGTCAGGAGTTCAAGACCAGCCTGGCCATCATGGCGAAACCCTGTCTGTACTAAAAATACAAAAATTAGCTGTGCACGGTGGCACATGCCTGTAATCCCAGCTACTCAGGAGGCTAAGGCAGGAGAATCACCTGAACCCAGGAGGCAGAAGTTGCAGTGACCCAAGATTGCACCACTGCACTCCAGTTTGGGCAACAGAGCAAGACTCCACCTAAAAAAAAAAATAAAAAAAAAAAGTTATGTTTACATTATACTGTGTCTAGTTAGTGTGCAAAAGCATTATGACCAAGAAAATGTACATACCTTAATTTAAAAAATGCTTCATTGCTAAAAAAATGCCAATGATTATTTGAGCCTTCAAAAAGTTGGAAACATTTTCCTAGTGAAGGGTCTTGCCTCTATTTTGATGACTTCCAATTGATGAGGGCAGTTGTTGTTGAAAGCTGGGGTGGCCATGGCAGTGTCTTAAAATAAGGCAACAATGATGTTTGCCACATCAATTGACTTCCTTTCATGAAATATTTTTCTGTAATGTGTGATGCTGTTTGAAAGCATTTTACTCAGAGTAGAACTTCTTTCAAAATTGGAGTCAGTCCTCTCAAATCCCGTTGTTGCTTTATTAATTAAGTTTATGTAATATTCTTAATCCGTTGTTACCATTTCAACAATGTTCACAGCATCTTCAGCATGAGTAGTTTCCATCTCAAGAAACCAATTTCGGGGGGCGATTCCAAGATGGCTGAATAGGAACAGCTCCAGTCTACAGCTCCCAGCGTAAGTGACACAAAAGACGGGTGATGTCTGCATTTCCAACTGAGGTACTGGGTTCATCTCACTGGGGATTGTTGGACAGTGGGTGCAGGACAGTGGGTGCAGGGCACCGAGCATGAGCCGAAGCAGGGCAAGGCATCGCCTCACCCGGGAAGTGCAAGGGGTCAGGGAATTCCCTTTCTAGCCAAGGGAAGGGGCGACAAATGGCACCTGGAAAATCGGGTCACTCCCACCCTAATATTGTACTTTTCCAATGGTCTTAGCAAATGGCACACTAGGAGATTACATCCCGCACCTGGCTCAGAGGGTCCTATGCCCACAGAGCCTCGCTCATTGCTAGCACAGCGTGTCTGAGATCAAACCGCAAGGCAGCAGCGAGGCTGGGGGAGGGGTGCCCGCCATTGCTGAGGCTTGAGTAGGTAAACAAAGTGGCCGGGAAACTCAAACTGGGTGGAGCCCACTGCAGCTCAAGAAGGCCTGCCTGCCTCTGTAGACTCCACCTCTGGGGGCAGGGCATAGCCGAACAAAAGGCAGCAGAAACCTCTGCAGACTTAAATGTCCCTGTCTGACAGCTTGGAAGAGTAGTGGTTCTCCCAGCACGGAGCTTGAGATCTGCGAACGGACAGACTGCCTCAAGTGGGTCCCTGACCCAGGAGTAGCCAAACTGGGAGGCACCCCCCAGTAGGGGCAGACTGACACCTCACCCGGCCGGGTACCCCTCTGAGATGAAACTTCCAGAGGAACGATCAGGCAGCAACATTTGCTGTTCACCAATATTCACTGTTCTGCAGCCTCTGCTGCTGATACCCAGGCAAACAGGGTCTGGAGTGGACCTCCAGCAAACTCCAACAGACCTGCAGCTGAGGGTCCTGGCTGTTAGAAGGAAATCTAATAAACAGAAAGGACATCAACACCAAAACCCCACCTGTACGTCACCATCATCAAACACCAAAGGTAGATAAAACCACAAAGATGGGGAAAAAACAGAGCAGAAAAACTGAAAATTCTATGAAATCAGAGCGCCTCTCCACCTCCAAAGGAATGCAGCTCCTCACCAGCAATTCAACAAAGCTGGACAGAGAATGACTTTGATGAGTTGAGAGAAGAAGGCTTCAGATGATCAAACTTGTCTGAGCTAAAGGAAGAAGTTCGAACCCATGGCAAAGAAGTTAAAAATCTTGAACAAAGATTTGACAAACGGCTAACTAGAATAACCAATGCAGAGAAGTCCTTAAAGGACCTGATGGAGCTGAAAACCATAGCACGAGAACTACGTGACGAATGCACAAGCTTCAGTAGCCGATTCAATCAACTGGAAGAAAGGGTATCAGTGACTGAAGATCAAATGAATGAAATGAAGCAAGAAGAGAAGTTTAGAGAAAAAAGAATAAAAAGAAACGAACAAAGCCTCCAAGAAATATGGCACTATGTGAAAAGACCAAATCTACGTCTGATTGGTGTACCTGAAAGTGACGGGAAGAATGGAACCAAGTTGGAAAACACTCTGCAGAATATTATTCAGGAGAACTTCCCCAATCTAGCAAAGCAGGTCAACATTCAAATTCAGGAAATACAGAGAACATCACAAAGATACTCCTCAAGAAGAGCAACTCCAAGACACATAATTGTCAGATTCACCAAAGTTGAAATGAAGAAAAAAATGTTAAGGGCAGCCAGAGAGAAAGGTCGGGTTACCCACAAAGGGAAGCCCATCAGACTAACAGCTGATCTCTTGGCAGAAACTCTACAAGCCAGAAGAGAGTGGGGGCCAATATTCAACATTCTTAAAGAAAAGAATTTTCAACCCAGAATTTCACATCCAGACAAACTAAGCTTCATAAGTGAAGGAGAAATAAAATACTTTATAGACAAGCAAATGCTGAGAGATTTTGTCACCACCAGGCCTGCCCTAAAAGAGCTCCTGAAGGAAGCACTAAACATGGAAAGGAACAACCAGTAACAGCCACTGAAAAAACATGCCAAATTGTAAAGACCATCAAGGCTAGGAAGAAACTGCATCAACTAACGAGCAAAATAACCAGCTAATATCATAATGACAGGATCAAGTTCACACATAACAATATAAACCTTAAATGTAAATGGGCTAATGCTCCAATTAAAAGACACAGACTGGCAAATTGGATAAAGAGTCAAGACCCATCAGTGTGCTGTATTCAGGAAACCCATCTCATGTGCAGAGACACACATAGGCTCAAAATAAAGGGATGGGGGAAGATCTACCAGGCAAATGGAAAACAAAAAAAGGCAGGGGTTGCAATCCTAGTCTCTGATAAAACAAACTTTAAACCAACAAAGATCAAAAGAGACAAAGAAGGCCATTACATAATGGTAAAGGGATCAATTCAACAAGAAGAACTAACTATCTTAAATATATATGCACCCAATACAGGAGCACCCAGATTGATAAAGCAAGTCTTTCGACACCTACAAAGAGACTTAGACTCCCACACAATAATAATGGGAGACTTCAACACGCCACTGTCAACATTAGACAGATCAACAAGACAGAAAGTTATCAAGGATATCCAGGAATTGAACTCGGCTCTGCACCAAGTGGACCTAATAGACATCTACAGAACTCTCCACCCCAAATCAACAGAATATACATTCTTCTCAGCACCACACTGCACTTACTCCAAAATTGACCACATAGTTGGAAGTAAAGCACCCCTCAGCAAATGTAAAAGAACAGAAATTATAATAAACTGTCTCTCAGACCACAGTGCAATCAAACTAGAACTCAGGATTAAGAAACTCACTCAAAACCACTCAACTACATGGAAACTGAACGACCTGCTCCTGAATGACTACTAAGTACATAATAAAATGAAGACAGAAATAAAGATGTTCTTTGAAACCAATGAGAATGAAGACACAACATATCAGAATCTCTGGGACACATTTAAATCAGTGTGTAGAGGGAAATTTATAGCACTAAATGCCCACAAGAGAAAGCAGGAAAGATCTAAAATTGACACCCTAACATCACAATTAAAAGAACTAGAGAAGCAAGAGCAAACACATTCAAAAGCTAGCAGAAGGCAAAAAATAACTAAGATCAGAGCAGAACTGGAAGAGACAAAGACACAAAAAACCCTTCAAAAAAAAAAATCAATGAATCCAGGAGCTGGTTTTTTGAAAAGATCAACAATATTGATAGACCGCTAGCAAGACTAATAAAGAAGAAAAGAGAGAAGAATCAAATAGACACAATAAAAAATGATAAAGGGGATATCACCACTGATCCCACAGAAATACAAACTACCATCAGAGAATACTATAAACACCTCTATGCAAACAAACTAGAAAATCCAGAAGACATGGATAAATTCCTGGACACATACACCCTTCCAAGACTAAACCAGGAAGAAGTTGAATCTCTGAATAGACCAATAACAGGTTCTGAAAGTGAGGCAATAATTAATAGCTTACCAACCAAAAAATGTGCAGGACCAGACAGATTCACAGCCAAATTCTACCAGAGGTACAAGGAGGAGTTGGTACCATTCCTTCTGAAACTATTCCAATCAATAGAAAAAGAGGGAATCCTCCCTAACTCATTTTATGAGGCCAGCATCATCCTGATACCGAAGCCTGGCAGAGACACAACAAAAAAAGAGAATTTTAGACCAATATCCCTGATGAACATTGATGCAAAAATCCCCAATAAAATACTGGCAAATTGACTCCAGCAGCACATCAAAAAGCTTATCCACCATGATCAAGTGGGCTTCATCCCTGGGATGCAAGGCTGGTTCAACATATGCAAATCAATAAATGTAATCCAGCATATAAACAGAACCAACGACAAAAACCACATGATTATCTCAATAGATGCAGAAAAGGCCTTTGACAAAATTCAATAGCCCTTCATGCTAAAAACTCTCAATAAATTAGGTATTGATGGGATGTATCTCAAAATAATAAAGGCTATTTATGACAAACCCACAGCCAATATCATACTGAATGGGCAAAAACTGGAAGCATTCCCTTCGAAAACAGGCACAAGACCAGGATGCCCTCTCTCACCACTACTATTGAACATAGTGTTGGAAGTTCTGGCCAGGGCAGTCAGGCAGGAGAAAGAAATAAAGGGCATTCAATTAGGAAAAGAGGAAGTCAAATTGTCCTTGTTTGCAGATGAAATGATTGTATATCTAGAAAACCCCATCGTCTCAGCCCAAAATCTCCTTAAGCTGATAAGCAATTTCAGCAAAGTCTCAGGATACAAAATCAATGTGCAAAAATCACAAGCATTCTTATACACCAATAACAGACAGAGAGCCAAATCACAAGTAAATTCCCATTCACAATTGCTTCAAAGAGAATAAAATACCTAGGAATCCAACTTACAAAGGATGTGAAGGACCTCTTCAAGGAGAACTACAAACCATTGTTCAATGAAATAAAAGAGGATACAAACAAATGGAAGAACATTCCATGCTCATGGGTAGGAAGAATCAATATCATGAAAATGGCCATATTGCCCAAGGTAATTTATAGATTCAATGCCATCCCCATCAAGCAACCAATGACTTTCTTCACAGAATTGGAAAAAACTACTTTAAAGTTCATATGGAACCAAAAAGAGCCCACATTGGCAAGTCAATCCTAAGCCAAAAGAACAAAGCTGGAGGCATCATGCTACCTGACTTCAAACTATACTACAAGGCTACAGTAACCAAAACAGCATGGTACTGGTACCAAAACAGAGATATAGACCAAGGGAACAAAACAGAGTCCTCAGAAATAATACCACACATCTACAACTATCTGATCTTTGACAAACCTGACAAAAACAAGAAATGGGGAAAGGATTCCCTATTTAACAAAACTGACTAGCCATATGTAGAAAGCTGAAACTGGATCCCTTCCTTACACCTTATACAAAAATGAATTCAAGATGGATTAAAGACTTAAATGTTAGACCTAAAACCATAAAAGCCTTAGAAGAAAACCTAGGCAATACCATTCAGGACATAGGCATGGGCAAGGACTTCATGTCTAAAACACCAAAAGCAATGGCAACAAAGCCAAAATTGACAAATGGGATCTAATTAAACTAAAGAGCTTCTGCACAAAAAAGAAACTACCATCAGAGTGAACTGGCAACCTACACAATGGGAGAAAATTTTTGCAATCCACTCATCTGACAAAGGGTTAATATCCAGAATCTACAAAGAACTCAAACAAATTTACAAGAAAACAACAAACAACCCCATCAACAAGTGGGCGAAGGATATGAACAGACACTTCTCAAAAGAAGACATTTATGCAGCCAAGATGATGAAAAAATGCTCATCATCACTGGCCATCAGAGAAATGCAAATCAAAACCACAATGAGATACCATCTCACACCAGTTAGAATGGTGGTCATTAAAAAGTCAGGAAACAGCAGGTGCTGGAGAAGATGTGGAGAAATAGGAACACTTTTACACTGTTGGTGGGACTGTAAACTGGTTCAACCATTGTGGAAGTCAGTGTGGCGATTCCTCAGGGATCTAGAACTAGAAATACCATTTGACCCAGCCATCCCATTACTGGGTATATACCCAAAGGATTATAAATCATGCTGCTATAAAGACACATGCACATGTATGTTTATTGTGGCACTATTCACAATAGCAAAGACTTGGAACCAACCCAAATGTCCAACAATGATAGACTGGATTAAGAAAATGTGGCACATATACACCATGGAATACTATGCAGCCATAAAAAGGATGAGTTCATGTCCTTTGTAGGGACATGGATGAAGCTGCAAACCATCATTCTGAGCAAACTATCGCAATGACAGAAAACCAAACACCACATATTCTCATTTATAGGTGGGAATTGAACAATGAGAACACTTGGACACAGGAAGGGGAACATCACACACTGGGGCCTGTCATGGGGGTGGTGGGGGGGGGAGGGATAGCATTAGGAGATATACCTAATGTAAATGACCAGTTAACGGGTGCAGCACACCAACATGGCACATGTATACATATGTAACAAACCTGCTCACTGTGCACATGTACACTAGAACTTAAAGTATAATAATAAAAAAAAAGAAACCAATTTCTTTGCTCATCTGGAAGAAGCAACATCTCATCCATTAAAGTTTTATCATGAAATTACAGCAATTCAGTCACACCTTCAGGCTCAAAATTTAATTCTACTTCTCCTGTTATTTCTACCACATCTGCAGTTACTTCCACCACTGGAGTCTTGAACCCCTCGAAGTCATCCATAAGGGTTGGAATCAACTTCTTCTAAACTCCTGTTAATGTTAACCTTTTGACTCCCTCTCATTAATCACAAATGCTCTTAATGACATCTAAAATGGTGGGTCCTTTCCAGTAGTTTCAAAATTTATTTTGCCCAGACCTACTAGAGAAATCACTCTGTTTGGCAGCTCTAGCCCTATGAATTGTATTTCTTAAATAATAAGATTTGAAAGTCAGGATTACTCCTTGATTCACAGGCTTCAGAATAGACGTTGTGTTAGCATGCATGAAAACAACATTAATCTTCTTGTATATCTCCATCAGAGCTCTTGGGTGATGAGGTGCAAGGTCAATGAACACTAACAGTTTGAAAGAAATCTTTTTTTTTTCTATGTATGTCTCAATAGTGGGCTTAAAATATTTAGTAAGCCATGCATAAACAGATGTGCTGTCTTCCGGGCTTTGTTATTCCATTTCTAGGGGACAGGCAGAGTAGAGATAGTAGAACTCTTAAGAGTCTCAGGATTTTCAGAACAGTAAGTGAATATTGGCTTCAACTTCAAGTAACCTAACAAGGTCTGTCCTTTGAAGTCCTGAAGCCAGACATCCACTTTTTCTTTCTAGCTATAGAAGTCCTAGATGGCATCTTCTTCCAATAGAAAGATGTTTCATCTAGATTGAAACTCTGTTGTTTAGTATAGCTGCCTTCATCAATTACGTTAGCTAGACCTTCTAGATAACTTGTTGCAGCTTCTACATCAGCATTTGCTGTTTCACCTTGCACTTTCACGTTATAGAGAAGGCTTCTTTCCTTAAATCTCATGAACCAACTCTGCTAGCTTCAAATTTTTCTTCTGCAGCTTTCTCACTTCTCTGAGCCTTCACAGAGTTGAAGAGAGTTAGGGCCTTGCTCTGGAATAGGCTGTGGCTTAAGGGAATGTTGTGGTTGGTTCTATGCAGACCATCAAAACTTTCTCCATATCAGCAATAAAGCTGTTTCACTTTTCTATCGTTCATGTTTTCACTGGAGTAGCACTTTCAATGTCCTTAAGAACTTTTTCTTTGCATTCACACCTTGGCTGTTTGGTATAAGAGATATAGTTTTGGGCCTATCTTTGCTTTTGACATGCCTTCTTCACTAAGCTTAATGATTTCTAGCTTTTGATTTAAAGTGACAGATGTGTGACTCTTTTTTTCACTTGAACACTTAGAGGCCGCTGTACTGTCATTAACTGGCCTAAGTTCAGTATTGTGTCTTTGGGAATAGGGGGTCTTGAGGAGAGGGAGAGATGGGGTAATGGCTGGTCGGTGGAGCAGTTAGAACACACAGAACATTTATTGATTAAATTCATTGTCTTGTACGGGCAGAGTTCATGGTTCCCCAAAACAATTATAATAGTATTATCAAAGGTCACTGATCACAAATCACCATAACAGATATAATAATAATGAGAAATTTTGAATTGTTGGGAGAATTATCAAAATGTGACACTGAGGTATGAAGTGAGCAAATGCTGCAAGAAAATGGCGCCAATAGGGTTGGCTTAAAACAGGGTTGTCACAAACCTTCAATTTGTGAAAAGTGCAGTATCTGCGAAGCTCAATAAAGCAAAACCCAATAAAACAATTATGCCTGTGATTGGATTTTATCTGCCCTTCTGAAAGGACCGTAATTGTTCAAGATCTTGGAACATTTGACATAAGCCCACTTCTTTGGAAATCCTTTACCTCAAAAGATCTTCTGTGGACAGATTGAAGATAAATGATCAGATGTGCTAACTCATTAGCCTAAATACTAAAAGTGTGTTCCTGTTTGCTCAATGAAGTCAACTTCCATCTTCATAGCCATAGATATTAATTGTTGGCTATAGCTATAATTCCTCCTTTCTTATTCACTCCCTTATTTTTTAATTCATTGACTACTTAAATCCAGTGGAGATCCTTCAAAATAAAATTGAAAGAGGAATTCCATTTGCAGCATACAAGGAAAATCTCTATATCCTCACTGGTCTTTTTTCTCTCATCTTTTCCTAGTAAAAGTCATGTTCTATAATGGTGCCAGAATCATCCCTTCAACACCTAAATCTGACCATATTGTCCACCATTTAAAAACATTCAGTGGTTTTCTACTGCCTGAAGTACAACCTGCTTCACAAAGAGCAGCACCTATGATTTTCTACAATCCATCTTCTCTATTACCCTCACTGCTCCTCATGTTGTAAGCTTCCATGTCTCACACAGCATGCTCAGCAATTACAAAATCCTGTGGTCCACACAGTTTTTCTTTTTCTTTTTTGTACACTCTGATGTATTTTTTTTGCCTCAAAGCAAATACCTTTTTACCTAATTCTATGAATTAGGAGCCTTTTCTTGTGCTATAATTGTTCCCTATCCTCATCTTTGCCATTGATCCATCTAGTAGTTTCACAACTCTGTGTGTGTGTGTGTGTGTGCGTGTGTGTGTGCGTGTGTGTGCATGTTTTCTTATTAGAGCGGGAGGCCCTTAAAGTTAGAGATATGATGATTTATTCACCTTTAGACTTCTAACATCTAGTTAAAGGCCGGACACATAGTAGGTGCTCAATAAATGTCTGGACACCTGAGGTGAGATAAGGCTAAATTACTTCCTTTAATACGCATTCTTCCTCCCGGGTGCAGTGGCTTACAACTGTCATCCCAGCACTTTGGGAGGCTGAGGCAGGAGGATCACTTGAGCTCTGGAGTTCAAGATCAGCCTGTACAACATAGTGAGACCTCATCTCTACAAAAAATGAACAAAATAAGCCAGATATGGTAGTGTGTATCTGTAGTCCTAGCAATAGGGCAAGACCCTGTCTCAAAAAATATATAAATATATATTTATATATTATATACATTATACATAATATATATTATACATATAATTTTCCTTTCATCCTTGTTTACTTAAATTTGATTTGTTCTTTTTCTATTTCCTGTTTAGCATTTTTCCACCCATTCAATGCTTTGCCAATTTTATGAACACTTGGTATAAAAACCAGATTTAAGTAATTGATTAGGATAGGACAATTCATTTTTCCTTGGCTCTAGGCCCATAATATCAGTTGCAATAGAAAACTAAAAGAAATCACTTTGTTTCCTGAAAGGTTCCCAAGTGAATGAGTCCAATCAATTTTCTTCTCCAGAAGTCTTAATGTAATCAAACTTGCAGAAGGAAATTGATTAGATATTATTATCGCATACATTGCCCACTGAGTTCCCCAGTCCTTCATCCCTTTGCTTTTATTAATCATGCAATAAAGGGGCTAACTAGAAACATGAAAAAAGATGTATTATCAGACTCACAAATTTCACAATGAAAGAAACTTGCAAGGTGTGTTATGGCATCATTTTAGGGCTACTCTGATCCCCATTTGATATTTCTGGGCGCTAAATGGACACTGGTAACCAAGAGGAGAAAATAGGTTTCAGTTTTTCTCTTCACAACTTTAAGAATTCAGTTTAAAAATCCTCTTTTTCCAAAATAATATATGACACACATTTCCTTGCTAGTTCCATCAGAGTGGTCAGTAGCCTGACAACTTCCGAACTTCGCTTCACCTGAGAAACAGAATTAGAGTTATTTATTTACCATTATGACTGTCAGAAAACTTGAATGTAAAAATTCTGCTAACACTTTTGTTTTACTAAGCTGAAAGAATTGATCACACACACACACACACACACACATTGTGTGTGTATACATATATAAAGTAGTATTCATCATTGTTATCTGAAAAGTCGTCTATGGCAATTTTCTCACTGGATTGAGTAGAATATGGCTCTAATGAGGCAAAAGACATGGATGGCGAGCCCAAAACAATCTGATGCTTTACACAAGAATAAGATTTGTGGTCTCATTTGTACCACTAGGTGCACCAAAATACATAACAAGATGCACATTGATGACCATAGGGGTGGCTAGTGAGATGGAGATGTTCATCTCACTGGATCAATGCAATCTACCACCAATATTAGAAAATGTCATTTCAGACAGTTCTCTGCTTCCTATCCAAGTCCCTCATACTCCCATTATGCAATCTCAGAAATAATGTTGATTTATTTGGTAGGGGAAGAAAACTCCAGTGCAGTGAGCGCAGGAAAAAAAAAAAAAAAGCAGGCTTTGGAAACAGGCTTGTTTCCAGTCCTAGCTATGATGCTGCTTAGTGATGAGAATCTGGACATGTTACTAAAATGCTACGAGCTGCTTCCTCACCTGTAAAATAAGTGTCATAATTTCTACCTCAGTGTTTTTGAGAATGCTGTTAAATAAAATATGATGGGATATATAAAGTACTTACTACAGTCCCTACTACATAATAAAATTATTAGCAAATGTTTTCTCCTCCTCACTAATGGAAGGCAGAAACAGTAAGATAATTAAATGTGATGAATTGGAATAATCAGATAAAAATTATACAACTGATAGTTAACTCATTAGATTAAAAGATTAAGGATTGGAATTAACATGGCCAGGGTGAGGTTAGTCTTACGTAGAGAAAGCAGGTTAGAATCTCTTTACCTGGTACCTAAACTAGGTCTCATATTCTACTCTCAGAAAGGTATCAGGTTGTTGATTTAAACCGACCAGTAACACACATTTATGTAATACCTACTAAGTGCCCAGTGTACTGGACATTGGGAAGACAGAGATGAAAGGTCCAGTTCCTACCTACACACCAATCTACTGGGGTTCAGGTAGGTTGGGGAGGCACTCAGGATGCTATCTGTCTTCTTTTGTCATTTTTCCAGCTTTATTGAGGTCTAATTGGTATACTAAAAACTGCACATAATTAATGTATACAATTTTGTTGAGGTTGGACATATATATATATATACACACATATACATATACGCATATGTATGTCTACACACTAGCATTACTGTAACAGTGAAACAGCAAAAAAACTAATATAATTAACTTCATTTTGGTTTAACCCATTTCCCATTTAGAAACAGAAACTACAGCTCACCACCAGTGCTCATTTAATTATAATATAAACATGCTCTTTGAGGCTGAAGCAAGTCTGACCGATTTTCAATGTGAAAATAAAATATAAAAACTGTTGAAGTTATTTCTAAATAGAACTTGTCTCTAATCCTAATGTAACAGAAATGTATGTGATGTTACATTAAATCATGTATTTAGTTGTAAATCAGATTTACAACTAAATCTGGGATTAAAGGGGGAAGTATGTAAACAACTCTGTTTTGTTAAGGATTTATAGGAGCATTGTGACCTGACCCAGGACAAAGACGTTCTCAACCTTCTCGGACCCTTGCTGCTGCCCAGATGTCTGCAGTTATTGGTCAGCTCTTGATCTAGATTCCCCTTCTCTTCCCCCTGCCCTTAACATAAAGACAGCCTAACACCTGTGCTGACTTAAGATGGTCTTTGAGGCTATAGTCCACCCTCTTTGCGGTGTACTGGCTCTATGGATAAACCTCATTTTCCTCCTACCAACCCTCGTCTGTCATGTCTGGCTTTTAAGTAGCAAGTGGCCAGTCCTGGGTTCAGTTACATTATCATCCCCACAACCTGGGTAATAAACGTATCCACACCGCCAAAAGTCTTCTTGTGTCCTCTTTGTGTGTGTGTGTGACAAGGATACTTAACACAAGATCTCTCTCAATAAATTTTTAAGTATATAATACTTTACTGTTCACTATAGGTATCACGTTGTACAGGAGATCTCTGGAACTTATTCATCTTGAATAAATTTATATTTATTGAGTAACAGCTCTCGTTATCCCCCTGATTCCATGCCCTTCCACCATTCTATTCTCTATCGCCATACTGTTGATTATTTTAGATGCCTTTTTATACGAGAAATCATGCAGTATTTGCTGATATTACCTATCTCCTGTTGTTTTCTTGTTAAAAAGAAAACATCCCTTGTGAGGGATAATATACAAAGCTTTCACCAGTCAGGAAGAATATAGCTTTCACACAGTCAGAAACTGAAAAAGACTAAAAGCCACCTCCTCCTAGTTCCTCACTTGACAGAGGGGAGAAAAGAGGCCTATAGCAGCTCTGTGATCTTTTCAAGCTCCTAAAACTGGTTTGTGGTAGAAGCAGAGTGGGAATACAGGAAGTCTCGTGTTGGGTTCACAACTTTAGGCTACTGGTTCAATGGAAACCTCGGACCTTTACCCGAAAAGCAATTTAAAGTACATGCCCTGTTTGGGGTGGCTCTTGCCTTGGGGGAAATCACGTTCACAGTTGACACCAGATCCAGCCTTCTTCCTCCCTTGTTCAAATTTCAGAGCCAAAGTTACAGCTGCAGTTGGACTCCAGAGAGGAGGAGAGAGAGTGGGGGACACTCATCTTTCTTGCGAGCTTCCCACTAATAATGATATATTCTCCTTGCTCCCTGCCCAAGGCAGGGCTTTAATATAAAAACGCAGAAGCATCTTTTGATCATAAACAATTTCTGAAGCATTAAGAAGAAAAGATTGTTTTAAGAACTGCATTTAAAACATCTATGCTTCTTATCTTTGTTTCCTTAAAGGAAAATAACATTAATTCCTCCAAATAAATGATCAGTTCTTAATGGCTTCTTTGGCTTGAATTTTAGTGCAATTGCTTTATTTGAGATCCTATTAAACAATGGGTTTAAATTCTCAAAAGATTTCTTTTTTTTAAGTACAAAATGGATAATAATTCTCCAAAATCTGAATATTTTGCACTATACCCATCTCTAGATTTTTACCATGGAGTAGAAAAAAAGGAAAGGTTATGAGTGTCCTTTCTTTTTGCTGGAGTGGGAGAGTCTTGGAAGTACCAAATCTGTAGGGACTACAATCCAACACCATGTTTTTCTGCTGCTTTTCTGCTGATCTGAGAAGGGGAAAGACAAGACAGAATGGCCGTCCCTTTGACTTCATCAACCCTGTTTCTAAGGGTCTAGGGTTGCTTGTGAAACAAGCAACTTAGTGTAAAAAGCACTTAGTCATTCATTCCAGTCATCCAATTATATTTGCTTCTGACATTTAACCTTTTCAACAACTCACAGTAGTGGCATCTAGTTTGACAGTTTTCTGTTTATTCCACTTTGCTTCCTGCAATACTGTTTTGAAGCTCTATTATCCTTAAAAGGTGAGCAAGACTATACTTCTGAATTCTAGCTTCCGCAGTGTAATATAGGAAGGAGAAATTACCTGCAGCGTATTATCCAGAAGGGTTAGGGATTAATTTAAAGCTCAGATTATCATATGTATTATGCACAAATCATAGAGCATTCCTACTGTAGCTTCCAGGGAACAAGTATTTTTCAATCCCACTGAAGCTCTCTGGAGAGAGGGTTTAAACAACAACACCTCAACAGGAATTGAATCTAGCTGTCACTTAAAGAGGCTGTTTGGATTGGTTTTCAATGGCCAAATAGGCAAAACTAGGATATGAGATTATAAAACAGACCCTGCAACTGTGAGGCTTGAGGATACTTTCCTTTAACAATCAGCTGTTTGCACCATCTACCTCAATTTACCAGATCACAGTTTAACACTCATTTCATTTAATTCCGGCTCAGGATTCTAATAATTCCTCTAGGACTCTATGGAAACCTTGGAGAAGAAAGCCTGTATTGTACAAATAGCTAGAATGAGTTTATGAGCATCAGATTGGTGTATGCAGCCTCTGAACTAGTGCCTGATACATTTTTAGGTTTATTACATGTTTGGTAGGCCTTCTTTTGGGAAATTTTTTGAACGTAATAAACTAGATGATTTCTAAGACTGTGGTATGGAAAATGTTATAGCCTCATTATTATTATTATGATGATTACCAGTAATGCTTTTAAAGATTTTGAAATACATCAGGAGTGCTATGAAGAAATGAAAGTGTAGGACAAGCAGTAGATGAAATGAGAAAAAATACACTGT
This sequence comes from Homo sapiens, assembly GCF_000001405.40. Taxonomy (NCBI): domain Eukaryota; kingdom Metazoa; phylum Chordata; class Mammalia; order Primates; family Hominidae; genus Homo; species Homo sapiens. The sequence continues at coordinate 147,723,979 of NC_000007.14, read as the reverse complement.
GCAGATCACAGAGAGAACCAAAAAGCATTCTGTGGAGGTGGCAGAAGCCTTGAAACTATACAAAGAATTCCTAAAAGAGAGGATTCTAAAAGTGTTTACCACAAAGAAATAATAAATATTTGAGGTCACGGGTTTGCTAAATACCCTGACTTGATCGTTAGGCAATGCATATGTGTACTGAAACATCACATTGTACCCCATAAATATGTATAATTATTGTGTGTCAATTAAAAGGAAGTCCTGAGTAGCGAAGACTGAATGAGGTGAAGTGAGTTGGACCAAAATGCTTGTGATATGAAAAGCTGGCAATATTTGAAAGATGGTTACTATTAGCAACAGGGACAGATGCAGACTGATCTTTTTTTCACGTATAAGCAGAGTTTTGCAACTAGAGTTCTAAAAAAAAAAAGACAAAGTCTATCATTACAGGGCCAAAAAGTCTATCAGTCTGCAAAGAGATCACACGCCTTTCCTTACCAATGTCCCGATGAAGATGAACTTAATAGTACTGAATGTCAATGACAAAAGCATAGCTGTGCTTGTCTGAGTCTTATTTCCATTTTTATTAAATTTTTTCTTTTCCCCAAACCTCTGAATTTCTTTAGTTCTGTCCTTATTTCATTGCAGTTCTGGTTCTTTGAATCAATATTAATTTGGCTGTCTGGGTCCTACTACACATGCCATTTTTCATCCCCCTTTCCTGTTTCCTGACTGTAATATTCTGACATACGTGTTCACAGTTGAATTTCATTGATCAGGTTTACTTTGAAATATCTTCAACTTAAATAAAAATGCAAGAATTTTTTTTTTCATGGAGTAGAGGAGAGAGAACTTTATCAGTAGCAGGAGAGTTGGCATTTAGTGCCAGCCACTTGCTGACTGTGGAAAGTTTGAGAAGTCACTTCATTTCTCAAGCCCTAAGTTTCCTTTATCTGCAAAATGGAGGTGTTAGAGCTGACAATCTTGAAGGTCTCTCTAGAGCTAGAAATCTTACTTTTTGAGATAAGAATCAACATCAATCAGTCAGTGTGATATGAGGAAAGTGAAAGTCAACTATCTATAGCATTGTTCAGAGAATACCAGAATTTTAGACTTGCAGAAGATCTTACAGTGATTCTAGCTTCCCTTTATTTTGACATTTGAGGAAACTGATACCCAGAGAGATGAAATGACCTGTGACACAACTACACAGTAGCAGGTGTTGCAGTTTAATTTACTACATATTTGCAAATAGTGCTCCGAGCTTTGGGAGACTTTAAAGGTTTAAGCAATAACATTACTTGAGAAAGCTCATAATTGTGTCATTAGGGGTCTGGAGGTACTAAAAGGCAGAGTTGGAATAGGTCTCTCATAACAGTGCCATATAAACTTCATAAATCTGGAAGAGAAGTCATTGAAACTGACAAAACACAAAATGGATAATCACAGAAGAAAATATATTTCCCTTCATATGCTTGTTGGCAAAATTAGGTGAAGGGCTGTGCAAACTGCCGGATACACTATGACCTTCCTGTAACTGTGGTCGAACCCCAGAAATATCATACTTTGATAAGAGTTTTAAAAAATCCATGTGCCTTTTAAGGAATTATCATCTACATAAATCTCCTCACAAGTAAACCACGCTCAACAATGATTTATGCAATGTCTTGCTGATGACATTTTAAGTGCTGCTGAAAGAGCATATTGTGGTTAATTTAAAATGTAATTAATGTAAGATTAATTGTGATCTCAGAAACTGGAACATGTTACTGACAAATAAAATTAGAAGAGTGGGACTGCATGAAATCCACAAAGAGAAGGGATTGGTCTGTATTTCTCCCACACTGTCCATGAGGAAAGGGCACGCTGATGGTTTGGGGCTAGCCCCAGTTCTTTAGATAGAAACAGCTAAAAGTGGAAAAGACAATTCCTCAAAAGGTTTGGTACCTCTGTTTTCATTCTCCTTAAACTGTATGGCGTTTTGGGTTATAACTGAACAGACTTGCTGATCAGAAGGGCATGCCCCATCCAGGACTAAGATGTCTGGTATAATTTCCAGTGTTTAGTAATAAACTGAAACGCTGGTAAACAATTGCCTATGAAGTTAGAAGTCCGTGTTTCAGAACTTGACTGATGCTTGGAAATGATGGAGGTATATAGATTACAGCAGTTGAGAGTAGGTAACTCTTGAACCAGTGTTCCTGTCAAAATGCAGCCAATTTAATAGGGCACTATGAGCATTTATTTTAATTAATACCTGAATTTCATACTTAATTTCCTGTTTTCCTCCAGGATTCAATGGGGCAAAGGAGCCAGGAAGGTTTAATTTAAAGAGAAACTGATTTATTTTTTAGATGACAGAAATATGTAAAGGGAACTCCTGGAAGAAATGGCACAACGTTAAGGTAAATTTTAATGGAATGAAAAAGAGTAATGCTCCTTATAAGTCTTGTTTCCATGGGACTAAATGTCAGCCTGGAGGACACAGGAAAGCCTGAGATACTAGAGCAAAGGGGAGTGAAAAGGCATACACCACAAATGCCACCCTTTTTCTGAACCTGACATTGCTTAGATTTATAGAAGTCTCAGTAATTTTTTGTTTACTTGAGACTAAAGTTAACAGGGTTAAAAAGTGATTGAAAACTGCAAACCCATAACATATATATTCTGATTTTGTCAACCAAGTCCAAAACCAAAAACAAACAAGACAAATAAACAAACATACTGTAACATTACTACTCAAGTGGAAATATACAGGAAAACCCAAAACCCAAGCCCAAACCCCAAACAATAACAACAACAACAACAACATAGAAACCAGCACTGATTTTAGTACCAACTCAATTACAGATTAGGTATGCCTGCCCACCTAATTCCCTAGGATTCTATTTCAGGTAAGACACTATGTCTTAGGTGTATTTTGTTTACCAGACAGTATCTCACAGAATGCTGAGCATAGACAAGGCACTGCATAAATACTTGTTGAATTAATGTGTTAATTAATTAATTCAACATATTTGGGAATTGATGGGGTTTGTCATCATGACCAAGCCACCAAGCCACCCTATAACTCACAGGCTGTGGGCTAGAACTTGGTATCCTGATGAAAACCATAAAGACCTTGATACCCAGGGTATTAGTCTTTTTTTCATACTGCTATAAATAACTGCCTGACACTGATAATTTATAAAGGAAAGAGGTTTAACTAACTCACAGTTCAGCATGGCTGGGGAGGCCTCATCATGGCAGAAGGTGAAAGGGAAGCGAGGTACTTTCTTCGCAAGGCGGCAGGAAGGAGAAGTGCCTAGTGAAGTGGGGAGGGCCCCTTATAAAACCATCGGATCTCCTGAGAACTTACTATCGTGAGAACAGCATGGGGGAAACTGTCCCCATGATTCAATTACCTCCACCTGGTCTCTTCCTTCACACGTGGGGATTACGGGGTTACAATTCAAGATGAGATTTGTGTGGGGACACAAAGCCTAACCATATCACTCAGCATTAAACTTTTGAAAGGATAAACTTTGTAACTTGGCACATCCATGAATCAAAATGTCCTGTTTTTGTTTAACGTGATCCCACACTTGAGGGCTATTAGCTTGTTTGGTGATCCTCAACACAACAGAAAGAAAGGAAATGGGAATGCTGTACATATTACATTAACCTTCAGAGTCTGCTATTTGCTTTTGAGGAATTATTTTTAGAACAGCTTATCTCCCACAGACATAACAGTATGTCTAGTGGGCATGCTTATACAGTTTGTATACCATAAATGCTCTTTTTCCTCTCTTTTCTTCTTTTCTTAGAATGAAATTAAGAGTCATTAGCATACAGGTCAGTTTAGACAAAAGGAACATGTGTGTCACTTCGCTTTGGGAAAATTGGAATTTATAAAACGTGAATCTTGGGGAAGAGTGAAAATAGTCATTGAGTATAAGAAAAAAACAGAAAGAGAAGAATATGAGTGAAGATCAGGTGATGAACACACAGAATACAGGAGTGCCTGTCTTAATTAAAATGTACAAGGTGGGTGTGTTACAAGGCGGGAACATATTAACTTTGATGTGAATGATGGGAATAGAGAAAGTAGGAAATCTTCAATCACAGTAGTGGTAAAGGACATGGAAAATAAAACCTTGTCTGTTGAAGGAAATATAAAGAGGTGGATGCTTCAATTACAGAGGAGGTAATGGAAGTGAAAAAAGAGAGAAAGGCAAAAGTCACAGTGCGGGTGGCTACAAGAGGAATGCTGGGAAATTACAGCATGGTTAAGTATTTTACTCTTGTTTTTAATATTATTCAAATATTAAATAGCTTAGACTTAGTTCCCTAGTTGTGTTGAAATTTCATACCCCTACCTAGTGAGATAATTTAAGATTTTAAGTGACAGTTTCAGCCAAACAGTTACGCTGTTTACCAGTGTAAAACATTTTAATTTGCTCCGGTGGTTGCTGTTGTTATTATTGTATTTATGACCACTGGCAGTTAGGTGAATCATTTAGAGACAATGAGGTCTGTGTACAGAAGCTGGCAGATTCACTCAAATTCTGCCAGATTGTTATGTAAGAATATAATTAATAAAAATACCAGCCAGATTAGAATAATTTTTATTCTAGTGGCAGGATTCCCTTTAATTTGTTCAATCAGTCATTGGTTTTTGGAGCTATGTCTACCAGAGAGAAGTAGATTGAGCAGTTGTATCGAATGTGAGAGAGAGAGAAAAAACATTCCTTCCTGGGCTTGTTTGCAGTTGGAGTAGAGATCTGTGGGTGGGGCATTTGGCAGTGCTTAGGTACCCAGCTTCTGCAACAAACTGACCACTGCAATTCCTTTGGAGAGCTAAAAGTTCAATGAAGGAGGCAAGAGCACCCATTAGTATTTGCAAAGGTGAAATAATAACCTCTTTAACTATCCCTTTTAATAACATTTTGCTGCAAGACAATCACAAAATATTAGCATCTCTTTATGCCCATTATTCCTTATTTTCTTCCTAAGAACTCCCTGTTAACAGAGTTTTTCATAGATTGTTTTTTCTTTGAAAATCCTTAAAGGACAGTTATTAAAAAGTGTTTATGTCTCAGTGCAATAGTAATACTAAAGCTCTTGAGATATAGAGCACTATTATTGTGTACTGGAAACTTACATGTGTTAACAAGCATATGTGTATGTAATTAGATTAAGCCATTATTACATTGGGCTCAGGAAGTGCTGCTCTGCAATATAAACTTAGCAGTCATATTTGTAAATGGCTATGTGGTATGTTTTTTAGTAATTACTTTTTATAGGAACCAACAGTGAGCAACCCTCATCATTCTCTATCCATTTACATGGTACCCAGGATACAAAACTGAGAAAATGCCATTTGCATAACAAGAAGAGTCAGCAAAACAGGTCTTACCAAAAATGATCTCAAATCCTGCTTTTTGAACTTGCTATGTCTAATGACTTAACTCTCTAAAGACTGAAATATATTTTGTTTTGTAAGAGGTTCACTTTAAAAAGTACTAGTGATTCTTATGCAAAAACTGGAAATATTAATAAATTAATAATATTATAGAGTCAGTTAAAACCAGGCAGAATACATATTTTCCAACAACATCATGCATTTCATCACAAGTTAATTAAGAAACTGATCATTTCCCTTAAGAGTGTTTCCATGTATAAAAATAGCTACAGTTACATTAATTGCCTGTGTAGTACGTGCTCATACAAATGACTATGAAAGCTGGAGTTTAGTAATGTTCTGTGTAGCTTTTTACCCTACCTATACCTATATATGAAAGGTATTTGAGGCAGCATTCCATGGCTAATACAACTGTGCTTCCACGGTCAAAGTAAAATAAATAAATTAACTTGGCTAGGCACATTTAATTACAATTAATCATGCTGACGTTAACATTCATACATCAGATACTATATCAAGCAATATGATTACAAAGATGACTATGAATTTATCCTTGATTTCAAGGAGTTATTTAGTTACAAGGGACATGAGTACAATTAGATATAATAAAGTATATAATTGGTACTATTATAGTAATATGAGTGAATTCAGAAAAAAAAAACAGAGGAAATTAGGCTATTTGCGCTACCTTTACATTGCTATGTATTTATGTATTTGAGACGGGTTTTCACTCTGTTGCCCAGGCTGGAGTGCAGTGGCACCATCATAACTCACTATGAACTCCTGGACTCAAGCACCCCTCCCACCTCCGCCTCTTGAGCAGCTAAAACTATAAGCATGTGCCCCGCCCTGCCCATGTCTGGCTGTTTGCTTTTTTAAATTCTCCTCAAAATTTTTTTCATCAATAGTATGAAAGTATATTTTAACATTAAGACTCTCCAGTGAGACCCTGGAGTTACTTCCAGGATAAATATTCTGTGATTTGATATTAACTTAAGTTGCAGTGTAAGTTCTATAACTCACCGTAAATTCTAAATTGGAAGAAATAAAACCCCAAGGTGGAGCATTAGCTATGGAGTCAGATACAGATCTGCCATTTTACTCTGCTATTTCCCTCCTCTGAATCTGGTTCCCATTTCCATGAAATGGGATACTGCCTAACTCAAAGTCAAATTAGAAAATATATATGAAATTAGGTGAGGATACTGCTGGTAAATTGAGCATTTCTCTGCCACTTTTCAACCAGGCCTAATTATTAGTGTTGGCCGTGTTAAGTCTTACAATGCTGCGCCTCGGGAATTAGTGTGTGCCTTCTGCAGATCTGATGGGCAGCAAATCAGAGTGAACCTCCCCAGGCCTGTAGTCACTGCAGCTTTCAGTGTTTTAAAAATACGACATTTCATTTAAATCATAGTTACTCAGCCTTTTAAATACCAGCCATAGGACCTAAAGGAAAGGTGATTGACTCTCCTTTTTTTTTCTTTAGAAATAGAAAGGCCTACTTCACCCAGATTTTGGTGATAAGCTCCAAGAATTCCACTGATATTGTTGTCAAAATATTTTGGAAACATACCAAGAAGATTGTTATGTATTTGCCAAGCATGTAGCTCCCAATCTACTTGCTTTATTAGAGAAGGGAAAGGTATCAATGTAAAGTTCACCTCAAGCTGAGCACCGGGTTAGTTTTGCTGTGGTAATAAAGCATATAAATACTACTTTGATATCTAAAAAATTGTGTAACACACTGTCCAACTCATGATCCTAGCAATACTGATACAGAATGTAGAAAGAAATTATTTCGGCAGATAGTGAGGGCAACAGAGTCCTCGGCAGAACTTCCCTTCTAACAAAAAGCAGCCCAAGAAATTATTCTTTTCCTGACAAACAGCAGCCTGAAAAATCGAGCTGCAAACATAGATAAGGAAGCTGGAAGCTTGCACGGGGGATGCCGGTAGCTGCGTCAATAGAAAAGGGCTACCTGGGGGCCAGGCATGTCCACCATGGAAGCTCCATCTTCCCTTTTTGGTTAGCACATGTACAGAAAGAAAGAAATTGGCAACATGGCTCAGCTCAGGCAGAGAACTCGCCTGCATAATAAAAGCTTAGGGTGGGAGCTGCCAGAAATTTGCGCCCTATGCCAATGGCACACTTAGTCCTAACCAGTTTTTTTGTGCCCTATGTAGATCAGACTCTGCCTCACCACCAGCTCACCTATAAAGCCCCTGGCATTTCACTGTGGACTGGCAACCCATTTTTCCAGAACCGTTCTCTGTAGCAGAGACCTATTATCTTTCTTTCGCTTATTAAACGTTCACTGTTAACCTCACTCTGTGTGTCTGCATCCTCGATATCTGTGACATAAGACAACAAACCTTGGGTATTACCCCAGAAAACAAGGTAACTTCAACATGGCATTTACAAACTTTGTAAAAAGGACAGCCAAGTAGTAGGTGGATACATGCTATATTATGTTACTTAAACTGAGTTTCAGTTTCCTGATCCATATTTAACCAGAGTAAGAACTGGCTCTCTTGTGACCAGTGTTGGTACAAGTTGCATCTCACAGAAATAAAAACCTAATTATACCCAATTAGTTTTCTTAAATAGAGCAAAAGCAATCTGATGGAGGAAGAAAAGTCTTCAATAAATGACGATGCAATGATTTATAGGCAAATAGCTAACTAGCTAAATAAAAATGAACCTTGATCTAAACCTTGCACCTTATACAAAAATCAACTAAAAATGGACCATAGATGTAAGTGCGCAGCTTACAAAACTATAAAATGTCTAGAAAAAGAAATAGGAGAAAATCTTCAAGATACAGGACAAGGAAAGAGTTCTTAGACTTAACACCAAAAATCATAGATGATTAAAAGAAAAGTTGATAAATTGGACCTCATCAAAATAAAAAAAAAGTATTCTGTAAAAGAGCCTGTTAAGGGTGAAAAGACAAATTGCAGACTGGGAGAAAATATTTGCAAATCATCTATCTCACACAGTACTAGTATCTAGAACATATAAATAATTCTCAATTTCAATACTAAAAAAACCCCATAAAATTAGAAAATGGGCAAAAGACATGAAATTAGAAAATGGACAAAAGACGTGTATACAAAGAGACTATACAGATGGCAGATTAGCCCATGACAACTCTCTTGGCATCATTAGTCATCAGAGAAATTAAAATGGAAACCACAACAAAATATTACTACACACCTATCAGAATGACTAGGATAAAAATAGTGATAACATCAAATGCTGGCAAGGATGTGGATAAGCGGAATCACTCATACATTCCTGATGGGAATCTAAAATAGTACAGTCACTCTGTAAAATAGTTTGATAGTTTCTTTTAAAATAAAAATAAAAATGGACTTACTATGTGATCCAGGAATTATACATGTGGACATTTGTCCTAGATAAAGGAAGACTTAATTTCATGCAGAAATTGATAAACCAAGGTTTATAGCAGTTTTATTAATAGTCCAAAACATAAACTACTCAAATCTTCTTTAATGTGTGAACAATTAATCAAACTGTGGTATATGCATATCAGGGAATACTACTCAGGAAGAAAAAGGAAGAACTTGATACACACAACATCTTGCGTGAACCTCAAAAAAATTTGCTGGGTGAAAAAAATCTTAAAAGAATACATACTTCATACTTTTATAAATATAGCATTTGTGAAATAACATCATTATAGATATGGAGAAAACAATTAATGGTTTCCAGGGGTAAGGGATGAGGGTGTAGATTCCGCTGTAAATAAGTAGCACAATGAAGAATGAAGTCTTCTGGTAATGGTACAGTTAAATATCTTGATTAGTGGTTACACATATCTACACATTTAATAAACTGCATAAAACTACATATACATACACATGAGTACACACACACGTGCACAAGTAAGGGTGTGTATAACTGTTGAAATATTAATAAGCTCTATGGCTTATACTAGTATCAATATAAAAAAATCCAATTCCTTTTCCCTAAAAACCTTGTTTTAATCTTATTCACTCAAAAAAACTCCAAAAAGAGAATATTTCATAATTAGCATACTAAACACTCTCTTCATCCCTCTAACCCCTCAGTCTTCTTCACAATTCTTGCTCCCTCTTGTCTTTTTTTTTTGAACAAAAACTGAAACAAAAACAAACACACAAACAAAGAACCTCTTTCTCTCTCTTCTACCTCCACAACTATACTTCCCTTGCCTCTCCCAAGTACTTTTCCCTTTCTTCCTCATGGCCCCACTAACCTCTAAATTATCTCTTTATCATGTGGATCATTTCAGCCTGTTTTGGATTATTTAAATTTACCTCTTCACTCATCCTTAGCAGTAGTATAAAAACCTTCCAGAACCTGAACAAGCAAACCCAAAATTCCTGGGGAAAGAGAAGGATTTGGAGAGTCACAAGTCAGCACTGTTTGTCCCTTTTCCTTATCAAATGGGAACAATACCACCCAGCACATTCATAGGGTTCTTATGTGTATTAATAAGATGCCATATATAAAGCACTTACTACAGCGCTTGGCATACAGTAGGTACTCAATAAATGGTAACAGCTAGTAATGGGATGCAAATGGCATGCAAAAGAGAGTAGTATTAATGATCTGCAATTTAACAATCTGCAAATATTCGTTAAGCATCTAATACATTGTTAGTACTTTGCTAGTACTATGAAATAACCAAAAAATATAGAACATAAAGGAGCACTTAAAAGATGCTCAATATCATTAGTCATTAGGGAAATGCTAATTAAAACCATTATGTGATACCACTATACACCTATTAGAATGACTAAGATGCTGAGCAACTGGATCTGTCATTCATTGCTGGTCTAAAAACAAAACGCTACACCACCATAGAAAACAGTTTAGCAGTTTCTCATCAATTTAAACATTCACTTACCATACAATCCAGCAATCCCACTCCCAGGCATTTTTCCAAGTGAAATGAAAACGTATGTTCAAACAAAAATCTGTGTGAGAATGTTTATAGTGGCTTTATGGTCCCACATTGGAAATTACCCAAACGTTCTCCAACCGGTAAATGTATAAACATGCTAGGTGTATCCATACAATGAATTATTACCCAAAATACAAAGGAATGTACTACTGATACATAAAACATGAATGATCACAAATGCATTATGCTAAGTAAAAGGATCTAGACACACAGGCCTATATACTGCATGGTTTCATAGATGGAAAACTATAGAGGCAGGAAATGGATCAGGTTATCAGTGGCTGCAGGTGGGAGAGGTTTGACTACAAAGTCACAAGGAAAATATTTAGGGTGTTCGAACTGTTCTATCCCTTAATTGTAGTGGTGATTATACAACTGCATGCATTTCTTAGAACTCATAGAAATGTACACTGAAAAGGGTGAATTTTATTACATGCAAATTTCACTTCAATTAAAAAAACACAAAAGAAAAAAATGGGATGCAGCCTCAAAGTAAATAACACAGATCTTGCCACCGTGTTCTTAGGAGATGAGATTAAAATACACAGATTAGAGAATCACGTGTACTAGCATGTAATTGGTTGCGGAATTATGAGGTTTAGGGATCGTTATAAATGAAATTTAAAGAAATCACTGACTAATGTGGGCAGAGGAAAGATTGGGCTTTACCATCAAATGTCAAAAGGGTGGGCAGAGAGGACTGACAGGGGATTTTTAAAAATTTTTTTATTATTATACTTTAAGTTTTAGGGTACATGTGCACAACGTGCAGGTTGGTTACATATGTATACATGTGCCATGTTGGTGTGCTGCACCCGTTAACTGGTCATTTACATTAGGTATATCTCCTAATGCTATCCCTCCCTCCTCCCACCACCCCATGACAGGCCCCGGTGTGTGATGTTCCCCTTCCTGTGTCCAAGTGTTCTTATTGTTCAATTCCCACCTATGAGTGAGAACATGCGGTGTTTGGTTTTTTGTCCTTGCGATAGTTTGCTCAGAATGATGGTTTCCAGCTTCATCCATGTTCTACAAAGGACATGAACTCATCCTTTTTATGGCTGCGTGGTATTCCACGGTGTATATGTGCCACGTTTGCTTAATCCAGTCTATCATTGATGGGCATTTGGATTGGTTCCAAGTCTTTGCTATTGTGAATAGTGCCGCAATAAACATACATGTGCATGTGTCTTTACAGCAGTATGATTTATAATCCTTTCGGTATATGTCCAGTCATGGGATGGCTGGGTCAAATGGTATTTCTAGTTCTACCTCCTTGAGGAATTGCCACACTGTCTTCCACAATGGTTGAACCAGTTTACAGTCCCACCAACAGTGTAAAAGTGTTCCTATTTCTCCACATCCTCTCCAGCACCTGTTGTTTCCTGACTTTTTAATGACCGCCATTCTAACTGGTGTGAGATGGTATCTCATTGTGGTTTTGATTTGCATTTCTCTGATGGCCAGCGATGATGAGCATTTTTTTCATGTGTCTGACAGGGCATTTTTGCCTGAAGGAACGTGAGTAAGAAACGTGGAGCAAGAATGAAGAGTCTTACCTACCTGAAGGATAGCATTTGTATTGAGAGTAATGAGAAATTGATTTGAGAAAGAGGATAGAGCCAGATTGTGGAGGATCTTAATTTTCAAATACAGCCTATGATAAGATTACAGTCTTTTTATAACACTATTATAATAAGTTCTTGAATGGAGAGTTACCATAAAAAAGCAGTATTTTCACTTGATTATTCTGAAGTAGTGTCCCCAGCATACAGGGAAAGAAGCCATGGTCCCACACAACAGAAGAGAGAAGTCAGTACAGTATTTATGTTGCAGAACTTTGTGGCTTTTGAATTGACATCTTAGCTGATTGTCTTAATAATAGACATCCTGTGTTAAAAATGGAATCTTTGAGTGTTTAGCAAGAGGGAAGCACAGCTGCCTCTAGCCGTTTATTTCCATAGCTTCTGGTCATGAGACATTTTGTATAGAAATGGCTGCTCTGGCAGCTGTTTTCTTTTAGGTCTGTGGGGACTGCAGCTGTCTGGATTGCCACATGCTCCCATCGTTCCTGACCTCCTAAATAATGAACACTTGGAAATCCTATAGAGCAGTGCTTTTCTGCTCCAGAGTTCAAATACATTTTGACCCTTGCATAAAGCCATTGAAGGAAGGTCATCCCTTCGTACATTGGGAGCTTCGATGTGAGTACAGCAGAGTCCAATTTTAGATCCTTACTTTGGTAACCATCTGTACTCATGTATGCATGAGCTCTCTCTTCTATGGTCTTAGCTTATGGTCTTTATGTAGAAAGATGTTGTAGTTAAGTGACTAAAGCTCAGGAATTTGGGTTTCTTTTCAAATTCAGTATAAGACTCCGGAGAATATATTCATTATCCATTGCTAAATTCCACTCAGAATCCTTACAGGGACTAAGCAGTCTTAATTGTAAGTTAGGTTACTATTTAAATACCCTATAGCTATTCAAAGTAAGGCTACCAAGATCAACATTCACAGCACATTGATGTCAAAGTAGGTGTATTCCTGAGACTTCCGGAAATCTCTTAATTAATCCTGGGATGTGCTGTATTACGAGAATGTCAAATGTCTTGCTGAGTAGCAAATAGATGAACCCTACAACAGCTTCGAGTAACAATGAGGCTAATATCAAATGCCCTTCATCTGAGAGTCCTAGAGGCCTTTACAAATGGCATAACATTAATCTGAACATCACTCTAGAGAAGCATCAAATTAATTTCCACTTCAGAAATGGAACCCCTGAGAAAGAAGCATGTCCACAACCACAGTTAAACCTACTTTTTAGCATACCAGTTCTTATAAGCCATCTGTTCTGATGGCTAATTTGAGGCCCTGGGGTAAAAGACAGCATGAAGATATCAAAGTGGAAAACTCACCATATTCATTCAACATTTTTAGAGCACATTTATATATGAAGTCAAATAATATAGGATTATAGTTCTAAAAGAGCAACATTTAGGGAACGGTATAGTCAATGTTATGATAAAAGTATAAAAGAGATCCAATGGAAATAAATGCATTAGGGAAAAAGAGTCAAATTAGGAGATCACAAAAGAGTTTACATAGGAAGTAATGCTTAAGCTGAGGTTTGAAGGCTTGTAGAAGTTGTCTTTAAGCAGAAGGCAAAAAAGAAAGGATTCTTGAAAAGATAAATAGCATATATGAAGCATGAAGCATTATAACTGGTTATAGCTAGAGTAAATAGTCTGTGAGGCTGTGTTTCAGGAGTGGTGATGGTGGGAAACAGAGGATAAATTATGATGGGATTTATGTGCTAAGCTAAGAAGCTTAAAATGCATCCAAAATGTTAGCTATGGGGATAGTTGAATGGTCAGTGCACATATTCCTAGGAGATCTATTTCTCCATCAACATTATGATACCAATAAAGAGTTGTAAATGTAATTTACAGGAACTCCAACATGCAGAAACAATACCTCCTCACAAATTCTATTTAAAATTCATGTGTGTTTTGTAGGATGCCAGCTGGTTATCTTGCACAGGAGAAAAAGAAAACAAAGTTGGTGTACAATTTTGTACACTGTACAAACTGGTGTACAACTGTAGCCTATCTCTGCCATGGAGTTTGGCCAAAAGACAGATCTTTTGGGCATCTTATGACAAGCAAAAGGCAAAAGATTTCAAAGACACATAAACATAATTTAGTAACTAGTTGGACATAAAGGAGCAAAAGAAAAAAATAAGCAACTAAAATTTTGATTGTACACTGGGCTTTCTGGGCATTACACTGATTTGTAAAGATAATAAGAAAATAAGAAAGATTACTTATGTGCTAAAGATGAATAATTCATCCCAAAATATAATCTGTTGGAGATGGCAATCAGACATCAAGTAGAAAGAGTTCTCAGTACCTAGACAGGTTTGTCTCTGAACATCATCTATTTTCTAGGGACTCTAACCTTGAAAACAAGGCTGCTCGGTATGTATCAAACGCCCAGTCCAGAGGAACAGTGTTTATAGAGGACTACTAGAAAGTTAGATGAGGTGTCCTTTCTTCTAGAATAAACCCAATCTAAGTGCTATTTCTCATATTTTCTTCCCAAGCTGTTGCCTTCCTTATGTCACGTCCATGAAATTTGAGACTTCATGTATCAGCATCTTTACAAAAAGAGCTCTGTGAAATTCATTTTTGCATTACTGTAAGGACATTGTGCAAGTTGGGTTGTCTGGGAAACAGATGCTGAGATGGAGTTAGGATTGCAAGAGTTTTATTGGAAGTAAAACCAATTAAAGAAAAAAGTAAGATGCGGGATTGGGCATAGGAAGCTGACAGATCTCAGTGCAGATCTAAAATTCTTTACCAGCTCAAAGGGGAGTTCTGGAGTAAAGATAACCTGATGGAGAAGTCCTGTAGGGGATGTTGATGACCTGGCCCTTGTACCATCATTCTGCTCGGCCATTGCCTGGAGATCACTGAGAGAAGAGCGTAACCTTGGTTTGAAAACTGAGACAGATCCTGAAGGATCTAACAGCTGGAGGCATCAGCTGACCACATCCCTCTCAGCTATGCGGTGGGTCGTTTTTTGAACGAGGATCTGAACAGTGCATCTCTGTGTCTGGATCATATTACAAAATGGGCTGTATGGAGTTCTTAGCTTGGGCCTTATCTAATTCCATCCAAAAGTAGAAAAAATCATGTATTAACTGCATGGCAGAGGGGTTGCAAGGTGGCTGACTAGAGGCATCTGCTACGTGTCTCTTACACAGAGAAGAACAAAAACAGTGAATAGATGATCACACTTTGAATAGATCATTTATGAAAGAACATTAGAATTCAACAGATAAGTGACAGGACACAACCAAAACAAAAAAGGAAGGGGAAGTGAGGCTGCCTGCTTGGCTAGCATTGGCTGAGAACCTGGAGAGGCTGGCTCCCCAGTGGAGGAAAAGGGTAAGTGAGTGACCCCCAACAGTCCAGGTTCCCACCATGAACTCATGCAATCCTAGACACAGGAGAGTCCCTAGGACCTAGTGGGCCCCAAGACTAACATAGGAAGCTGCAAGGAGACCAAGTGAAGGCATTGCTCCAGAGAGAGCTCAAGCTGAGTCACACCCTCTGCCCCCAAGCCCTAGGCAGCTACAGCAAGTCACCATATTGAAAGCCTAGCCCCTACCATCCTGCCTGGGAGGTCCAACGGTACCTGCATCACCACATCCCTGGTGTCCTATTGACATTCCTCACCTGCAGCCAATGCATGTCATGGCTGGCAGCTAGTTGCAGCCAATATTCAAGTGCAAGCCATTGACTGTGACCCCAATATCCCCAGGAACAAAGCTGCCATGCATTTTCATGTGCCCCATGAACAAACTCTCCTGCCCACAGCTGCTGTCACTGCAAGTGACTGCTGTTCCCAGGGTCAAGCTTGAAGAAAATGTGTGTTCCCTAAACACATGTATACAGCTGCTGCCACTGAAAGCAACCTTGCCTTCCCCAGTAGCAGGGTTGCAGCTGCTGCCTTCTCTCAAACATTTCTTTGGGGACATGTGGATCACTCCACCCCTGTCTACCACAACTGGCACCTGCTCATACCACTGGGAGGTCTGAGGACAGGTCCACCAGTCCTGGCTCTCTCCCCCACTCTATGTCCAGACATGACATCCAAGGGCCTGGAAACCACCTACCCAAGTTGACCACCATCAGCACCAGGGTACTCCTTCTGTGGTCCTGAGTTCACGCCTGCCCAGCTCATTCTAGCCAATGCCCACAACAATGCAATCACCATACTGGGTACCCACGTACACATACCACAGGTGGGACTGGAGACTGGCCTTCCCAGCCCATTGTAGCCAATGCCAACAAACAATGCAAATCACTTCAGAGCTAGATGATTGTCTCACTATTGCTACTGCCATCACCCATTCCATGCTGCTGCCCAGAGGTCTGATAACCTACCCACCCACCTGGCCCACCATTGCCACTACCAGCACCTGGGCAAGCCACCTAGAGGCCCAAGAATGGCCTGCCTGAGCCTGCTAACACAGGTATATTAGCATATGTTGCCCTGGGGCCCAAGGAAAGGCATGTTTGGCCTGTGACTGGCCACCAGTGGGGTTTGAGGACAGGCCCACCTGTTGTCCCTGTCCCCAGAAAATCTTCATCACAGCCTCCACTGTATCATAAATCACTGAGGAAATCACAGACACTGCAGTCACTGAGGAAATCACTGACACCACTGATACTATTTACAGCCAAATAAATCACACAGTGATTACACTACTGCAAGCATCCAGAATCAAAGCCAAAGTGTCCTACCCAACCTAAACCACAGATTCATCTTTAACAGAGTCCTTCCTTAGGAAAGCAAATTCAAAAACCCGGAAGAAGAAATGTTTACACCAGATACATAGATGTCAATGTAAGGACAAAAGAAACATGGAAAAACAAGGATACTTTCAAAGAAACACAAGAATTTTCTGGCAATATATTCTAATCAAAAGTAAGTTTATGAAATCCTTGAAAAAAGAATTCAAAATATTGATATTAAGGAAACTCAGTGAAATGCAAGAGAATACAAAGAAATCAGAAAAAAAATTCAGAATATGAATGAGAAATTTACCAAAGAGATAGATATCACAGAAAAGGACCAAACAGAAATTGTGAAACTGAATAATTCCTTAAATGAAATAAAAAATACATTTGAAAGCTTCAACAATATATTAGATGAAAGAGAAGAAAGAATTTCCGAACTTTAAGAGCGGTCTTTTGAAATAACCCAGCCAGACAAAAATAATTTTAAAAAATTAAAAAGAATGAACAAAGCCTTGTGGCATATGGAACACAATCAGGTGATCAAATGTTTGAATTCTGGGTGCTGTAGAAGGTGAAGAGAAAACAAAAGGGATAGAAAACCTATTTAACAAAATAATAGCTGAAAACTTTCAAAGTCTAGGAAGAGGTTTAGACATCCAGATACAGGAAGCTTAGAAGTTCCCATACAAATACAATTCCTAAAGGCCTTCTCCACAGCACATTATAGTCAAACTGTCAAAAGTCAAAGACAAAGAGAGAATTCTAAAACCAGCAAGAGAAAAGCATCTAGTCACTTATAAGGGAACCCCTATCAGACTAACAGTGAATCTCTCAGCAGAAACCTTTCAAGCCAGGAAGAATGAGATGATATATTGAAAGTGCTGAAAGAAAAAAAAAATGCCACCCAAGGATTACATACCCAGAAAAGTTGTCATTCATAAATGAAGGAGAAATAAACTCCCAGACAAGTGAAAGTGGAAGGAATTCATTACCATTAGCCTGGTCCTATAAGAAATGCTAAAGGGAGTCCTACACCTGGAAGTGATAGGATGATATCTACCATCATAAAAACCACATGAAAGGATAAAACCCACTGGTAGAGCAAACACACAAATAAGGAAAAAAAAAAAAAAAACCTCAAATGTTACCACTACAGAAGGTTTTCTATAATAAACAATAGGAGAGAAAGAGAATCAAAAGACATTACAAAATAACTAGAAACCAATTAACAAGATGACAGGAATAAGCTTTTATATATTAACAATAACTTTGAATGTAAATAGGTTAAACCTTCCACTTAAAAGATATGGACTGGCTGAAAAGACAAAAAAAAAATGAGCCAACTCTCTTCCACCCACAAGAAATTTATCTCACCTATAAAGACACAGACTGAAAGCAGAGGTGAAAAAAGAGATTCCATGTAAATGGAAATCACAAACAAACGGAATAGCTAAACTTGTATGAGAAAACACAGACTTTAAGTCAAAAACAGTAAACAGAAGCAAGAAAGATCATTATATGATGAAAAAGGATCAACTCAGCAAGTGGATATAAAAATTCTAAACACATATGCACCTAACACTGGAACACCTGGATATAGAAAGTAAATATTATTAGATTTAAAGGGAGAGATAGACTCCAATACGATAATAGTTGGGAACTTCAACACCTTACACTCAGCATGAGACAAATCATCTAGACAGATAATTATCAAAAAAATTAAAAGGATTTAAACTGCACACTTGACCAAATGGACCTAACAGACATCTAGAGAACACTTCATTCAGCAGCTACAGAATGCACCTTCTTCCCATCAGTACATGGAACATTTCCCAGGATAGACCATATGTTAGGAAACAGAACAAGTCTGAAGAAACTTTTAAAAATCAAAATTATATCAAGTATCTTCTCAGATCACAATGGAATAAAACTAGAAATCAGTAACAAGGGACACTTTAAAAACTGCAGAAATACATGAAAATTAACCAACATGCTCTTGAATGATCATTGATTCAAGGAAGAAATTAAGGAAGAAATCAAGAAATATCTTGAAACAAATGCAAGTCAAAACGTAGTATACCAAAACTATGGAAGCAAAACTAAGGGGAAAATTTATAGCCATAAACACCTATGTCAAAAAAAAGTAGAAAGATTTCAATAAACAATCTAATGCACCTCAAGAAACTAGAGAAACAAGAACAATCCAAAGCCCCAATTAATAGAAGGAAATACATAATAAAAATTAGAGTAGAACTAAACGAAACAGAGACTTAAAAAAATACAAAGGATCAACAAAATGAAAAGTTGGTTTTTTAAAAGATGAAATCAATAAACTGTTAGCTAGACAAGCCAAGAAATAAAGAAGACCCAAATAAAAAAATGAGAAATAGAAAAGAGACATTACAACTGACACTACAAAAATAAAAACATAATTAAAGACCATTATGAAAAACTATACACTAACAAACCAAAAACCTAGAGAACATGTCTAAAATTCTGGACACAACCTATCAAGATTGAATCAGCAAGAAATAAAAAGCCTGAACGAACCAATAATGAGCAGTGAGATTGAATCAGTAAAAAAAGTCTCCCAACAGAGCAAAGTCCAAAACTGAATGGTTTCAATGTTGAATTCTAACAAACTTTCAAAGAACGGACAAGAGCTCTCCTCGAAAATACCGTCCAAAGACTGAAGAAGAGGGAATTATCCCTAACTCATTCTATGAGGCCAGTGTTACTCTGATAATGGTTTGGGACCAGTGACATCTGGAAATGCTGCATCTCCAGCTATCAGCTGTCCTCCCCTCACACTAGACTGGGGAGCTCAGGATGGGTGGTCTTCTCTTCCACTACCCAGTGGCTTTGGCTGTCCAACCACCCTTTCTTCAGAAGGAATTGCTTGGTTTGCTGGTCAGATATTTGGATTAAACAGCCATTTGGTATGGGGCAAACTGATAGCAAGTATTTTGCACACATGGATTTTCTTGAAGCAGGCTGACAAGAAAATCAGAGAATATAATTTATAAGAAAGAACTTTATTGTATTTTTTTAGGGAGAAAACGACAAATTTCCGATTTAGCTGCATGAAAATCAAGCGAGATGAAAAGATGACATTAAGTTAGAGAACACAAAGAAAATGTATTAGCGAATAAATGTTTCTCTAGAGTCATTGAGAAAAACAGCAAAAAAGTTGTGTATGTACACAATGGAATACTATTATCATTGCAAAAACCGCAATTACTGCTGTGCCAACCTAATATTTGGCAATAAAAAAGAATGAAATTATGTCATTTACAGCAACATGGATGGAACTGGAGTTATTATCTTAAAAGAAATATGCCAGGCATGGAAAGACAAATATTGCATGTTCTCACTCATATGTGGGAGCTGAAAAATCGACCTCATGGAGGTAGAGAGTAGAATAATGGTTACCAGAGGCTGGGAAGGGTGTGTGCATGGGGGAGCGAGACGAAGAGAAGTTGGGTAAAGAGTGCAAACATACATTTAGGTAGAAGGAATAAATGCTAATATTCAGTAGCACAGTAGGGTGACTACAGTTAACAAAAATGTATATTTCAAAACAGCAAGAAGAGAGAACTTGAAATGTTCCCAACACATAGAAATGATGTATACTCCAGATGACAGACACCCTAAATACTCTGACTTGATCATTATACCCTCTATGCATGTAACAAAATATCACGTGTATCTCATAAATACATACAGCTATTATGTATCCAAAAATCATGGATCAACTGCTTTGAATACACAGAGTGAAAAAGTATTTTTTGTCCTTACTCTGTAAATACCTAAATTATAGACCTAATAATTTATTTTATTGATCTGTTGTCCTAAACAGCAATTTACTAACATAACTGAAATTGCCTTTCAGTAAATGCCCAGGGCCCTATAGTTGGCTATTAAATGCTTGAAGAAGAAATAAAATTCTGGTGGCTCCTCACTTGACCACTTTTCCAGCTAGTATTTTATTAGTAGCAAGGAAATAATCACAGAAATTCATTACTGTTAGAGAGTCCAGTGTGTGAGAACTAGTAGGTGGCCACTTGCTTTAGTTGTCAGTTTTTGCAGTGTTCTAATTAGAGTGATCTGGGAATTAAGAAGCAAATCGTCTTCTCTCGATGGGAAGGGGAGGTTGGTAATGTGGTTGGTGTATGGAGAAGGGTTCAGGAAACAGGCGCAGTGGTTAGAATGGGCAGGTCATCAGAACTGAAGAGGACAGGCTTGCTATGCGCCTCAAGTGTGGGAGGCAGCCAGGGAAAGTGACACTTCTTACCATTGCTTGAACAATGTAAATAACAAGTGATCCTTAAAGGCAAAAGTAAAGAAGCAGAAAAATGATAGGAACTGCTTGGTTTTACCGGGGCAGGGGGTGTTAGTTTCATTGCTACAAGCAGGACTAACTACCTAATTTGCAAAGCCCAGTACAAAATGAAAATGCAGGACCCTTGTTTAAAAACATTAAGGATTTCAAGACCATCACAGCAGAGCATTACAACAGCACGAGGCCTTTCTGAACTTGGGGCCCTCTGTGGCTACACAGGCCACATGTTCATGAAGTCAGCCTTTCCTGCAGACCCAAACATTAACGACAAGAGAGATGAAGCACTTTTTTTCAGATCACCAATTAACACTCCATCTGCAAGCCTCCGGAAGTTCTGCTTCTATTACTTTTTCTGGTCTGAACTGTTGGTCTTCTGGCTCTCAGGTGGGGTTACTAAAGGAAGCAGAGGTTACAGAACTCGCATTCTGTACAATTTTCCCACCGAGAAGAAGTCTAGTGAGGACCACTATACTTTTAAATATTCTTTATTCTTACTGAAACATATGTGGGACCATATCTTACATTACATTACACATCAAGATTTTTGGTCCAGAAATAGGTTTGTTGTCATAACAGATTGGGAAACAGCTAACCCATTTATTTTAATCAGAAAGTTGTATTTTTTTCTGATTTTAATCAGAAAGTCTGTTCAAGACTTTCATTGCTAGAACTAGATATAAACACTTTTTATAAGAATATTGATGCCATTGATACAATTGCTGCTGCAAATTCTGCAACCCCAGCTCTTGTGATTTCAGAGTCATATCTTGTAGAGGTGGATCCGACGAGAGATGTCATCTCTCCAAGACAAACTTAACTGGAAATTAACCACCCCAGCTTCATTACATCAGAATGGGGTTGAAGGATGCCAGAGAGATATGGACAAGTATATTTCGGAAAAAAAAAAAAAAAAAAAAAACCAACCAAAGTGATTTGATGGTCTCCTGGTTAAGAACTACTGTTCTACTTCAAATCCTTTTTCCCTCAGTTAAGGAAACAGGTTCAATAACAAGCTTATATTCATGCAGGCAGTTAGAGAGAGCTGGACCCAAAACTTAGGTATACTGTGTCTCTAACAGGGTTCCTTCCGCACCGTAATGAAAGCATAGCATAGCTGGTAGTCTCAAAAGATTTTAGTTTGAGGATCAAATGATATTGAGGTTTAAGGGAAGTTCGGCCTTATAACTAGAATGAAGTTTTCTGATATGTGCTCTGTGTTAAACTGAATATACCACGTCTGTTTAGTTGGGAGAACTTACAACTCCTGTTAACGAATATTCTAAATGCTCATAACTAAAAGGTAGGATTAGTATAAAATCTCTGATTCTGATAAAAGACTACTTAAAATAGCCTCCAGTAAGAAACCAAATACAATATGGATTAATGGAAATTATGAAAAAAGCCGTTAGAAGACAAATTTCTCGCCTGATCTTCACAGTATACTCTGTTTGGATATGTAATTTAATAAAATGTATCAATGACAAGTCACCCAGCGAATTTCTAAAAAAATTGAAATATCTCTTAGCAGTTGACTTATTTTTATGGCTTTTATTGGCTGTATTCTTACACTTACATGATACAAGTCACATGATAAATTAATGTTACAGTAAAGCAAACTGACCTACTGCAGTTATCAGTAATGACAGGCAGCACTTTGACAGACTCCTTCACCCAGAAACATGAAACTG
Source organism: Homo sapiens (assembly GCF_000001405.40). Taxonomy (NCBI): domain Eukaryota; kingdom Metazoa; phylum Chordata; class Mammalia; order Primates; family Hominidae; genus Homo; species Homo sapiens. The sequence goes on along the minus strand of NC_000007.14, from coordinate 147,701,286 downwards.
AAGAGTGCATTTTCCTTGCAAACAAACCAGGTTTATACTTTACACTAGGGTCATTTTACATGAAGGCAAGGGAAGAGAAATATTCAGCTACAATGGTCCAACATCTAAAATGTCTAAGCTTAAATGAAAAGAGCCTGACATATTGAAAGACCTCACTAGCAAAATGCATCTCTAAGGAGTTATGTGTGTAACTGAAGAGAACTACAAAAAATCCAGGAAGAACCGTCCCAGCAGTTCAGAGACATTTTTAAAAATTAAATGAGCATCCGTGGAGGAATGCACTCAACTAAATGCCATCCATCCTCTTAGCTTCAGATTTCACAGCACAGAGACCCCCTGCCCAGCGGTGTTCCACTCTCCAGAATTAGTCCACGACAGGGAGTCCCTTGGCAGGGCTGTTCCAGTACAAAAGGAGACCCAGCGGGCCAAATGATGAGTAATAGTTATAAGTAAACATACTAAATGATACTAAGGAGTTTAGGGACTGCTCTCATTCTAAGCAATTTCTTCCAGGCAAAATACTTAACACTGGTTTCACACCACTCTTATATCAGCTTTTCATTTGGAGGCTGGCACTTTCTTCAGTATAGCACTGTGGGAGCAATTGTGTCTCCTCATAAAACACCAATAAGTTTCCAAGTTTCAATCACTTTACTTGTGATTTCATTTCTTCCTTCTGATATTTCTTCAATTTAGCACTCATACTGTGACTCCATTCTTTCATCTTTTAGGCATACGTTTTGTGGCTTTTAAACTTCTTACCTTCTGAGAATAAAAGTGGCAAATGGTGAGTACAATTTCTGGGAATGAATTTGAAGTGGATAGGTATAAAATTTAGTTGAATAAAGTAAAATAGTTGTAATCATGAGGGGAATGGACTGGTGCAGTTACACGCACCTGGGTCACCTTCTATGACTGTGGGCCTCCATGTGAACAGCCCTCCTGGAACAGTGCACTGGTGGCCCCAAGCTGTATTTCACTAAATGTTAATAATTCATACTTAACCCTGGGTAATTTTTCTGAATCATTTTAATCCATGGTAAATTATAGCATCATATCCTTACTGATATCAGTACCTACTCTACATATCTACGTTTACTTTTTTAATACAACTAGGGAACTGAAAGAAAAAGCCTTCGAAGGGAAAAATTTCAGCCCCACTTAGGACTAGGTATGATTCTGGTCATTACCAACAGAGAGTGAAAAGCAAAGAAAGGCTATGAATAAAGCAGGAAAATAATACATTTTCCACATTGTCAGTGTGAGAACTTGAAAAGCCATTAAGAAGAGTGGGTGGATGAACCTCAAAAACATTATGCTAAGTACAAGAAGCCAGATATAAAAAGCCACATATTGTGTGATTCCATTTATATAAAATATTCAGAATAGGTAAATTCAGAGAGAGGAAGACAGACTGACAGTTGCTGGGAACTGAAGGAGCTGGGAGTGGGGAGTAACTGCTTGCTGGGTCTAGAAATTTTGGGGGGAGTGATGAAATGTTTAGGACTAGACAGTTTTGGTTATTGCACAACATGATACGTGCACTAATTGCCCCAGAATTGTTCATTTTAAAATGGTTAATGTTATATTTTGTGACTTTCACATCAATACAAAATTAAAAATAAAATGAAAAACTACCTTCGTGATTTTTCTGTAATATTAAAGCCATCTTTTTATTTATTTATTTATTATATTTTAAGTTCTGGGGTACATGTGCAGAACGTGCAGGTTTGTTACATAGGTATACACATGCCATGATGGTTTGCTGCACCCATCAACCCGTCATCTACATTAGGTATTTCTCCTAATGCTATCTCTCCCCTTGCCCCCCACCCCACGACAGGCCCCGGTGTGTAATGTTCCCTTCCCTGTGTCCATGTGTTCTCATTGTCCAACTCCCACTTATGAGTGAGAGCATGTGGTGTTTGGTTTTCTGCTCCTGTGTTAGTTTGCTGAGAATGATGGTTTCCAGCTTCATCCATGTCCCTGCAAAGGACATGAACTCATTCCTTTTTATGAAAGCCATCTTTTAAAAAGCGTTTTTTTTTTTTTTTAATAGAATTTTAGTGGGGATGAGGCATGAACTCCAACCCGTTCAGCTTGCTTAAGTCACCTAGATAACCCTTTATATATATTTATTCTTTTTTTAAATCGTTATAATCTAAACATTAAGTTATAAGCATGTATTAAGGGCACTACTACCCCTTTTCCTCTCATATGAATTAGTGTTTACATGTAGTCAAATTTATCAAGTTCTTCTTTAGTTCTATTGGTCAATCTTTGCTTTATAATGTCTGATTTCTGTTTCCTTCTTAGAAAGATCTGTCCCACTCCTTCACTTGAAAGGTTGTTGTTGATTTTTTCCTCTAAGGTATTTATTTATTTATTTACTTTTTCTAATTATTTTGGTTAGTATTTCTGATATTATTCAATAATGTGCTCACACCAGCAATCCCAGCATTTTAGGAGGCTGAGGCAGGGTACTGCTTGAGCCCAGGAGCTCACGACCAGCCTGGGTAACATGGCAAAACCCCATATCTGCAAAATAAGATACAAAAATTAGCTGAGTGTGGTGGTGCACACCTCTAGCCCCAGATAACTGGGAGGCTGAGGTGGGGAAATCACTTGAGCCTGGGGTTCAGGACAGCAGTGAGCATGACTGTGCTACTGCACTCTAGACTTGACAATAGAGCAAGACCATGTCTTAAAAAAAAGTCCTGTCATTTGGACTTAAATAATAAAATGTAGCAGTGAAATGAAAAGCTTAAGTGTGGATGGGGGAAGAAGAAAGAAGAAATGATTTTTTTTCATATTTAATAGACAGTTGGTAACTGACATTATTTTAAAACAAATCTATCAATAATAGATGTTTAAATATGTGATGTAATGGTATAAAGGTAGTGGTGTGTTGGAGCCCCTTCTCTTTCCCACCCCAAACTCACAAGAGGCAACTGTTAAATTTTCAGGAAATTTGCAAACCAGTTGTTAAATAAAGCCATAACTGAAAAATAAAGTATAAACTCCTGATTTCTGATCTGGCATGTAAGGAGATTAGGTATCTTCAGTCTGGCCTAACAATAAGTAAAAATCTGAGCAAAATGAAAAATTACAACTCTTCTTGAATCTATCAGAGAAGGGTACTCATAGAGCAAACCACAGGGCAACATTGGAGAGATAGACAGGTGGACACGGAAAATTACAACTTAATAACCAAACAGAAATCCATGAGCAGAAAACTCATTATGAGCCAGTACCAGGGTAGGAAACCCTAAACTGTAATTAACGAACTTCTGGAGGTTGAGTGTGGACAAGCTTGAAAGATGAAAACTCCAGGGCACTCAGTCATAGGGGGTCCTCACACTTCTACAAGTTTCCTCTCCAGGAGTCTGCCAGCTTCTCACAGTAAATATTGGAAAAGAGTCCCTTTTGCTTCTAGTAGGGAGAAAGGAAATGTTACCATTTTGAAATACATCACAGCCTTCCGTTCTTCTTAACAAGGCCTACCCAGAGGAGAAACTATTTTACCAGAGCTGAATCTTCTGAGGTTGTATCAGAGCCTCACTTACCTAGGGGAGGGGAAATGCACAGCTGTGGTCTCCTCCAGTCACCCTGTGCCACGTAAAGGGGTTGGCGGAAACTTGTGAAGTCCATAGCCCAGAGGCACAAGCTCACCAAAAGACTGAGACCTAATCATAGAATGCTTCCCCGCTCCCCCACAACGTATCACTATATTAATAAAGGCAAAAAAACAAAAACCATAGTTGGAGACTGAATTAGCATCAGAACCAGAGTCAGATATGGTAGGGATGTTGAAATTATCAGAAAATCATCCTCATGACTTATCGCTGCATTAATAAAGGCAACAAACAAAAAACCACAGTTGGCGAGATCGATCGAATTAGCATCAGAACCAGAGTCAGATATGGTAGGGACGTTGGAATTATCAGAAAAGGAATTTTTTTAAAGTATAATTAATATGCTAGAAGGCTTTAATAGGAAAAAAAAGACATGTCAGAGCGAATAAACAATGTCAGCTGAGAGATGGCTATTCTAAGAAAGAACAAAAAAGAAATGCTAAGGAATAAAAACGCTGTTAACAGAAATGAAGAATGGCTTTGGTGACTGACATTTAATTAGTAGACTGAATGTGGTTGAAGAGAGAATCTCTGAGTGTGAGGACGTGATAACAGAAACTTCCAAACCACACATTAATTTGGAAAAATTCTCAGTCACTATTGCAGACATCAAACTACAGAAATAGGAAGCTCAAAGGAAACCAAGCAGGATAAATGCCAAAAAATGAAAATTTAAAAACTATGCTTAGGCACATCATATTCAAACCTCATTAAATCAGATAAAGAAAAAATTTTGAAATAAGCCAGAGGGAGGGAAAAACACTTCACTTATAAAATTACGTCTGACATCTCCTCAGAGACCATGCAAGCAAGAAGAGAGTAGAGTTAAATATTCAAGGTGTTGGGAGAAAAAAAAAATCAGCCAACCTGGAATTCTGCACTCTGCAAAACTATCCTTCAAAAGTGAAGGAAAAATAAGGACTTTCTCAGACAAATAAAGATAGAGGAAATTTGTTGCCAGTAGATCTGACTTGCAAAAAAAATGTTAAATGAAGTTATTCAGAGGAAACAAAAATGATATAGGTCAGAAACTAGATCTACATAAAGGGAGAGCGCTAAAGAATGATTAAGGGAAGACACAACAAAAACTTTTATTTTTCTTATTCTTAATTTATCTAACAGACAACAGGTTGTTCATGATAATAATAATAATGTACTCTATGTATATGGAGGAGGGATTCAAAATATTTTGTTATTATAAAGTATTTGCACTACCTGTGACAGTTATTTGAAAGCAGATTTGAATTAGTTGCAAATATTTATTGCAAACCCTAGGGCAACCACTTAAGAAGTAAAAACAAAGAAGTATAATTGAGACACTAAGAAAAGAGAGAGGATAGAGTCATATAAAATCCTCAGAACCACAAAAAGCAGCAAATGTGTGAAAGATGAAAACAGGAACAAAGAACAAGGGCAAAAAATCAAAACCAAACCCAAGTATTATAGATATTAATTGAACTACATCGATATTTACCTTAAATGTCAATGGTCTAAATTCCCCAATTAAAAGACAGAGATTGTCAGACTGAATAAAAAACCAAAACCTAACAATATGTGTTGTACATGAAATTCACTTTAAATGTAAAGACAAATATGGATTAAAAATAAATGGATAGAGAAACATAGATCATGCTAACATGAATCAAAAGAAAGTGGAAGTAGCTGTATTAATTTCAGACAGAGCAGATTTCACAGCAAGAAAATTTGTCAGGAAAGTGGAGCATTACATAATGATAAAGGGGTCAATCCTCCCTGCCAAAAGTCATAACAATTCTTAATATATATGTCTGTTTTCTAACAACAGAATGTAAATATACTTTTTAAAAATTTTTTAGTTTTTTATTTTTTTTGAGATGGAGTCTCACTCTGTGGCCCAGGCTGGAGTGCAGTGGCACAATCTCAGCTCACTGCAACCTTCGCCTCCCGGGTTCAAGAGATTCTCCTGCCTCAGTCTCCAGAGTAGCTGGGATTACAGGCATGCACCACCAAGCCTAGCTATTTTTTGTATTTTCAGTACAGACAGTGTTTCATTCACCATGTTGGTCAGGCTGGTCTTGAACTCCTGACCTCGTGATCCACCCACCTTGGCCTCCCAAAGTGCTGGGATTACAGGCATGAGCCACGGTGCCGGCCAGAATGTAAAAATACTTAAAGCAAAAATTGATAGAACTGCCCAGAGAATTAGATTAAGTCCCACTGTTATAGTTGGCAACTTCGATACCCTTCATCCATAAATTAACAGATCCAGCAGGCAGAAAATCAGTAAGGCCATAGCTGAACTCAAAAACACTAGATCATCTAGGTACAGTCGACACCTATAAACTACTTCATCCAACAGCCACAAAAGGCACATTGCTCTCAGACTCACATAAAATATTCAACAAGATAGATCACGTTCTGGGTAATAACACATACAAATTTAAAAGAATACAAATCATACAGTGTCTGCTCTCAGACCAAAATAGAATTAAGTGAGAAATCAATAAAAGAAAGATAGTTGGAAATTTTCAAAATATTTGGGGATCACATAACACACTTCTAAAGAAGATATGTGTTATTTAGAAAAAATAAATTACAAGAAAAATTTAAAAATCTTTTGCACTAAATTAAAATGAAAACCAAACTTATCAAAATGTGTGGGATGCAGTGAAAGGAGTGCTTAGAGGGAAATTGTAACACTAAATGCATATATTAGAAAAAAAGATCTAAAATCAGCCATATAAACTTCTGCCTTAGTTTTTTAAAAAGCTAAAGAAAGAAGAGTAAATTAATTCCAAAGTAGGCAAAGAAAAAAAAGTAATGAAAATTAGAGCACAAAGTAATAAAATTGGAAACAGGAAATTGATGGAGAAAATCAACAAAACTGAAAACAGGTTCTTCAAAAAGATCAGTAACATTGATAAGCCTCTTGCCAGGATAACTGACAAAAAAGGAGAGAGAAGGCATCAACTACTACTAGCAGAAATGAAAGAGGTGCCATCACTACAGATTCTGTGGACATTAAAGGAATAACAAATGAATTCTGTGAAAAATTCTAAATCCACTATTTTGATGACCTAGATGAAATGGGCCAATTCTTTGAAAAACTCACATGAGAATAAATTGACAATCTGAATAGGCCTGTATCTATTAAAGAAACTGAATCAATAATTAATAACCTTCTAAATCAGGAAACAGCAGGCCCAGATCAACTTATTGGTAAATTTTACCACGTAATTAAAGAAGAAATTTATATCAATTCTCTAGAATCTTATCTAGAAGGTAGAAGCAGAGAGAATATGTCCTAACTCATACTTTGAGGAATACCAAAACCAGACAAAGACATTATAAGAAAAGAAAACTACAGATCATTATCTCTCATGAATATAGATGTAAAAATCCTCAACAAAATATTAGCATATCCAATCCAGCAATGTATAGAAAGAACTGTATACTATGAACAACTGTGATTTATTAAAGATATGCAAGACTGGTACAACATTTAAAAATCAATTAATGTAATCCATCATATCAATGGGTTAAGGAAGAGAAATCACATGATCATATCAAGAGATAAAGAAAAAGCATTTGACAAAATCCAGTACCCACTCATGATTAAAAAACAAAGCATAACAAAATGCTCAATAAAGTAGTAATAAAGGGGAGCTTCCTACTTGATAAAATATATTCACAAAAAATCTACGGCTAATGTATTTAATAGTTAGAAACCTGAAGTTCTCCTGCTAAGATCAGGAACAAGGTAAGGATGTCCCCTCTCACCACTGCTTTTCAATACTGTACTGAAAGTCCTAGCTAATGCAATAAGACAAGAAAATAAAAGAAAAGGTATACATATTGGAGAGGAAGAAATAAAACTGTGTGCTTGTTCACAGATGACATCATTGTCTATGTAGAAAATCTGAAAGAATCAACAACAACAACAAAAAAACTATCTGAGTTAATAAGAAATTGTAGTAAGGTTGCAAGATACAAGGTCAAAGTACAAGAGTCAATCACTTTACCATATACCAGCAATAAATAAGTAAGATTTGAAATTCAAAGCACAATACTATTTATATCAGCGCCCCCCGAAAATGATATACCTAGAAATAAACTAACAAAATATGCACAAGAGCTATAACAGGAAAACTATAAAACTCTGATGAGAGAAATCAAAGAACGAAATGAACAGCTGATATGTATTGTTTGAAAGACTCAATATTATCACAATATCTACTCTTCCTACTTTGATCTACAGATTCAGTGCAATCCCAATTAAAATCTGAGCAAGCTATTTTGTGAATGTTGACAAAGTGATCTTTAAAGATTATGTAAAGGGGCAACATACCCAAAATAGCCAAGAATATTAAAGAAGACTAAAGTTGGAGGACTGACACTATCCAAGTTTAAACTTACTATAAAACTAAAGTAATAAGACAGTGTGGTGTTGGCAAAAGATTAGACAAATAGATTAGCTGAACAGAACAAAGAACCCAGGAATACATCTGTGTAAATATAGCCAAGTGATCTTGACGAAGGAACTAAAATGAAGAAAAGATAGTTTTCTTCAACAAAGGAGGCTGGAACAACTGGATATCCACAAGCAAAATAACTAACTAACTAAATAAATAATCTAGACATACACCTTGAACCCCTCACAACAATGAACTCAAAATGAATTATAGACCTAAATGTAAAATGCTAAACTATAAAACTCCTAGAAATGACAAGGGAGAAAATCTAGACGACCTATGGTGTCAGAATGGCTTTTTAGATACAACATCTAAGGCACACTTTAGGGAAAAAATGGCAAGCTAGACTTCATTAAAATTAAATTTTCTGCTCTGTGAAGGAGCATGTCAAGAGAATAAAAAGACAAGTCAAAGACTAGAGGAAAAGGTACGCAAAAGACATCTGATAGAGGAGTGTCATCCAAACTATACCGAAAAAAGCCCTCTTAAAACACAATAATAAGAAAACAACTCAATTAAAAATGGTCCGTATCTTAACAGCTACTTCATTAAAGAAGATATACAGATGGCAGATAAGCATAAGAAAAAATGCTCATGTCATCAGAGAAATGCAAATTAAAATGACAATTAGATACTACTGCACACCTATTAGAATGGCCAAAATCTGCAACACTGACAACACGAAATGCTGCCAAGAATGTGAAGCAATGACAGCTCTTATTATTGTTGGTGAAAATGCAAAATGGTATGGCCACTTTGGAAGATAGTTTTTGGTAGTGTGTTACAAACCTGTACTTCCTCTTGCCATAGGATACAGCAATAGTGTTGTTTGGTATTTACCCAAAGGAGGTGAAAACTTATGTTCACACAAAAGTCTGTGCAAGGATGTTTATAGTAACTTCATTCATAATTGCCAGTGGAAGCAATCAAGATGTCCTTCAGTAGGTAAGTGGATAAATAAACTGTGGTACATTGCAATGACAAATTACTCAATGCTAAAATGAAATGAGATATTGAGCCTTGAAAAGACACAAAGGAAGCTTAAATGCATATTATTACATGAAAGAAGCCAATTTGAAAAGGCAATACTGTATGATTCAGACTATATGACATTCTGGAAAAGGCAAAACCATGGAAACAGTAAAAAGATCAATAGTTGTCAGAATCTGGAGAAGTGGAATGATGAATAACCAGAGCAGAGGACTTTTAGGGCAGTGGAACATTCTGTGTGATACTACAGTAGTAGACACATGTCATTATACATTTGTCAAAACCCACGCATGTACAACAGCAAGGGTGAACCCTAATGTAAACTGTGGAGTTGGATTGATAATGATGTGTCTGTGTAGGTTTATTGATTGTAACAAATCAAGCCACTCTGGTGTGGGATGTTGATAGTAGGGGAGTCTGAGTATGTGTGAAGATGAGGGAATATGGAAACTCCATATTTTCTGCTTAATTTTGCTGTAAACCTAAAACTTCTCTGATAATAAAATAAAGCTTATTGAAAATATTAAGCATATACATTTGCAAGTAAATAAGTTAACGGATTTTACTACACTTTACTAGTATCTATGCTCTTGACACCGCAAATGTGTGGGGGAAATCCTACATTGTGGTATGCTGCTGGTGATCACTTTGTCAACATTCATAAAATAGCTTACTCAGATTTTGATTCGGATTGCATTGAATCTGTAGATCAAGTTAGGAAGAGTAGATATTGTGATAATATTGAGTCTTTCAAATAACATGTATTATCTCTCTGTGCTCTTCTCTGCATTCCATGAGGGTAGGCTGGAAGCTTTAAATAAGCCACACAGGGAATATTTATACCATGGAAATTGACAAATGCTGCAAATCAGGGTTTGACTTACTGCTTTTTTGACTGTCAAACTGAAGAGAGAACGGAAAAAATGTTAATAATACAGATGAAACTTAAAAGTGTGTTGTGCCTACAGTCATTACATATAGAATAGTACAAAAAATTGAGAAAATCTTTTTTCAGAACTTAAAACCTAATCTATGATCAAGCAATCATAATTGAATTAATTAATCAAATTAATCCAATTGAATTAATGTGATCTATGATTAAGTCATTTATATCTTTGATGAATGAGTGAAGTTCTGACATTCATCTTCAATGTTTTCCCTTTGTTTTACTCATTAACAGACACAAATTATCAACCAAAATTTATTTTGGATTTGGACTTAAAAGCCAGTCACAAGTTCACCGCTATATAAAGATAACTGCTAGAAAAGCTGAAATAATAATATAACTAACCAAAATTTTGAGGCAGAGTAGGGGGAAGTATAATAAGCAATAATTACATTGCAAATACAATATAATTTTTTCATCTGTACAGTGGAGAATCAAAATACACAATTTAAGGTCAATACAACTCAAAGTGGATGATTAATTGTATTATTCAAATATACAATGATAATTGAAAGAAAAACTTTAAAAGTTTTATAAATGATTCTAATTTATCAAAAGAAAAGCATATATACATAAAAACTGTGACTCCTAATATTGCCTCCCACCCCAACAGTCCAGAATCTATTTGCTCTCCTTGATCTGTTTTCATATTGCTGTGTAATTTTCCTTTATGATATATTAAGATTAATTATTTGTGTAATTATTTGTGGATACCTTTTTTGTTACTCGATAAACTTCATGAAGCAAGAGTCTATGTATGATTGTGGTCACCATCATCGTAAATGCCTGGTACAATGTCTGAGATATAGTCATTGGTCGGTAATGATGTATTGATGTAATGCTGAGTGAAGAGCCCCTGACTTCAAAAATCTCAGAGGAAAGCTACACAGAAATGCAATAAAATGAAAGAAACCTGTTTGGTTTTAAAGAAGTAGAGAAAAGATTAGACATTTTGCCTAAGGGAAGACTTTGTATAGAAGGTGGTATCAGAGTTACGTCTTGAAATATTAGGCAGTTTGCCTGGTGGACAGGGAAAAAAGTCATTTTGGAGAAATGAAACTGCCAGCCGAGCAAGGTAACGTTAGTGAAACAGGGCCACAACACAGAGAAAAGTGTGGGCCATGCTAAGGATCTGGAATTTATCCTGTAAATCATTGGAAAAGGAGGCAATAAGATTCTTTTCTGGGCACCCTCTGTAGACAATGAGGAAGAAAGGAAGGAAGGGAGACTGGAGGCGGAATTTGGGGAGGGAGGCTTGGCACTGATTGGTTCCTACACCGTAGTTCCTCAAGCCACACAATCTACAGAGAGAAAAAACTGGTATAATTTGCATTGGTGCTTTAGTTGAAAGGAAAATATTGCTGAAATAAAAGGGATGGGGACAAGTCATCGGGGTCAAATCCAGCTTTTCTGCATACTGTCTCCTGCAATTTGAAATTTTTTTTTTATTCTTTCTGTGAATAACCCCTACTTCAAATCCTGACTCTAGGAAAACCTACTTTCTTCAATAATCTCACTTATCTTTAATCACACAAAATTTTCACAGTGGTATTTATCTGTATCATACCTTCAGAGCTGAAGCTGTGTTTTTACTTGATTTTGTAATCATCCATAGTGCACAATGAAATGTTTAGCACAAAGTATATTTTGGTGTTTTGATCAGTATATAATAACGCAATAACAAATGAAGATTTTAAAACTGTCACTACAGAGGAGCAGAAAGAAATCGGACAAATGTGTAAAGAGAATAACGTGATAGAAAAGATGATAGAATGATTTCTTTAATTATATGAGAGGGAGATCAAAGTAATTATGAGACCGGGCATAGTGGCTCACGCCTGTAATCCCAGCACTTTGGGAGGCTGAGGTGGGAGGATCACTTGAGGTCAGGAGTTCAAACAAGCCTGGCCAACTTGGTGAAACCCTGTCTCCACTAAAAATCAAAAAATTAACTGGGCTTGGTGGTGCGTAACTGTAATCCCAGCTACTCAGGGGACTGGCACAGGAAAATCACTTGAACCAGGGAGGTGGAGCTTGCAGTGAGCTGAGATTGTGCCACTGAACTTCAGCCTGGGCAACAGGGCAAGACGCTGTCTCAAAAAAAAAAAAAAAAGTAGTAATTATGAATACTCCGCTTTCAAGAAATAAAAAAAAAATCCTGTAATACTTCAGGAATAATGTTATATTTAATTTTAATTCAAGGACTGGTTTTTCCCCAAGGGTTAAATAAGATCCAGAAACTTGGAATTATGCAGCTTGTGACAGAAAATTTGGTTAAATAAGGGGAATAACTGTTTCTTACAACATTCCCAGCACTGCATTTTGAGTGACCCCTTGGTAGTATTCTGGTGTTTAAGAAAATCACTAAAACCTCAGAATGCTGACATGTGTACAGTAGGGAATTCACGAGTGAGTTTCATGTGGTTAAGTTAGGTGATGCAGGTATTCATAACAGTTATAACATTCAGCTGTTCACAAAATTCTTGTAAGGTGGACCTCCAGTTTAATTTGCCCTCTTCTCTGCAGCATAGTATAACCACAGAGGCTTGTGTGGTCTCTAACTTTTCCCTATGATACATGCTCAACCTGGTGCCAGGCTCGCTGGTATGGAACCTCTCAGTCTTAGACTTGAATTTTTATTCTCCTCTCTTCCATTTCCATCTGTAGGAGAAAAATAATGTTAAAAGAAAAGCTGCTTCCAGGCAAACAGAATCTAAGAAGCACACAAAAATGATCAGTTATGGTTTGTGACCTGATAGGCTGTTCTGGGAGTTGAGCTGTCATACTCAGGAGAAAGGCGGCTATGTGAGCTGTGAGGCTCAAGTGTGGGAGAGATAAGTAGGGGTGGAAATGTGAAGTTAGCATGCATGCTTGCATTTGAAAAGTACTCTTTCACGCATTTCAGAGTTTTAGAGGTTTTGTTGTTTGTGTTTTTTCTATTTTTGCTATTTTTAGCTTTGCTTTTTAAAATTAAACCTCTCTTTGGGGCTATCGACATTTTGTTCTTTAATAACTGGTCTTCCTTCTACAATTTCTCTCTTTATTTCCAGCAATGTCTGCTGATAAGAACAGCCTTCCCAGGAATGCGTCAAATGGTAAGAAGATATATTTTTTAAAGGCAAAATATTTAAAGAGAGAGAGAGAGGAATAGAAAAAGTAGCTGTTGGTGGAAGGTACCATGTAGCCCTCTTCCGCATCATGATTGAGTACATTCATCCATCAATGAAGCATAGATTCCGTCAGCAGGGATTATATGCAGAGCATTTATAATCATTAAAATTTCCCAACATAAGAAGGTCCTCCTTGCAAAATGGGAATAGCACAAATGGATGAGAATCATTCTCAATGGAAAATGGAAGATGCTATACTGTATCAGAATGTTTGTGTACAGATTTTATGTAAATATGGATGTTATCATAGAGAAGGTGAGAGTTCACTCTTAGTACCCTAACTTCAGCATTAGAACTTACAGTGTACTGATTCTGCCCCTTGCCTTCTCTCTCTTCCTCATGCTCTTAATTTGCTCCTCCCCCATAATTGGTCATTACATTTATTTACTTGTGTTTGCTACTCTGTTGCTGCCTTATATACAGTTGGAGAATCTCTATACAATGGTTAAATTACTCCTCCTACCCATGGTCAAATATGGCTCTAGAAAAACATTAACAATATGAAGCATGGTCTTCATGACCCTTAAACCCATGTGAGCCTCTGTTGCCATCTGCCCTTCTACTACTGACATCTATTTCATTCACTCTCCTTCTTTTCCTTGATTACTATTGCCTAACATTTCCTTCTTAAGCTTCTACACTTTCTCATTCTCAGCTTCTTACTTCATTAAGAAAATAAAAGAATCAGAAAAAATATCCCAAAGCCTTCATCACAATATTCACAGACTGACCTGTGAATGAGCCCATAGACCTCTCCTATCACTCTGGATAAACTATCCTTACTTGTATACAAGGCAATGCACCCATTTGTATACTATATTCCATCATTACTTGCAGAAATTTAATTCTCCAGAAATTCTTCATTCACATACATTATCATTTATTTTTCTATGAATTCATTCCAACAAAAGTACTGCTATTTTAGCCAACTTTTTAAATTGATAGATAATAGTTGTTCATATTTTTGGGATACAAGTGATAATTTGATACATGTATATAATCTCTAAAGGTCAAATCAGGTTAATCAGAATATCCATTGCCTTAAATATTTATCTTTTATTTATACTAGTAACATTTGATTTATTCTCTCCTACCTATTTTGAAATATACAATAGATAAATGTTAACTGTAGTCACCCTTCTGAGCTATTGAATGGGTCTTATTTACAGTTCTAGCTAATTGTAAATTTGTACCCATTAATAACCCTCTCTTTAAAAATTATACAGCTTTTTTTTTTTACACTATCCCTCTCTATCTACTGTCCTTTTCCCTTGCTTTTTTGTTAAGCAAAAATGTACTGCCTCCAATACCTCTCCTCTTGGTGTCTTTCAAGTATATTACATTTGCAATATCATTGCATCACTTTAGCAGAAACATCAGTCCTCCTTCCAGGACAGCCTAAACTCTTCTGATTTTACTCTTACTTAACTGGCTGTTCCTTCTCAGTCTTCTTTTGTGGTTTTTCTCATCTCTACAAACTATGAGTCTTGGATATCCCAAGGCTCAGTCTTCAAACATCTCCCATTCTCTATCTACATTACTCTCTTGGTGATTTTAATTGGACCCCTGGATTTAAATACCAATTCCACACTGACAAAATCCACATATATATTTATAGTATACACCTCTTCTCTGAAATTCAAACTTAGATATGCAATCATCTACTCAATAGATTGAGTAGTACTCACTTGGATATTTATTTTGAATTTAAAACTTCAAGAGTCTAGAGCTAACTTCTGACATTTCCCCCAAGCCTTCTTTTTCTGCATTCTTTTGTATCTTAATAAATGCAACTTCTTCCTTGCTCAAATCAAATACCTTCAACTCATCCTTTCTGTCATATTTCATATTGAATACAAAAGCCAAATGTCTCAAACTTCAGACTATATCCAGAATCTGTCTGATTCTCATCACCTATATCACTATCACCCAGGTCTGAGACACTCTCATCTCTTCCTAAAATACTCAATAATCTCCTAAGTGGCACCTCTGCTTCCTTGTGTATAGCAGCTAAAGTTAGCTTATTATTTTTTTTAAGTAGAATATTTCATTGCTCTGCTCAAATGCCACTAATGGCCCTCCCTCTCACTTAAAGTCAACATCCCCTTTAATTGCACACAGCCTCAATAAGTCTGCCCCTCACTCCTGGTTACTTAACTTCTCTTTCTGGACACATGGTCCTCCGTGCTCTTCCCCAGCAAATTCCTTTTATACCTGCTAGTCCTAGAACCTGGAGCAATCTTCCCCACAGATAGCATGATATCTGTACTCTCATCTCCTTCAAATTTCTGTTCAAATTTTAACCCTCCAAACCTCATCCTAAACTCACTATTCCTTTTTCTTGCTTTATTTTTTCCATAGCAGTATTACCATCTGTCATGCTATTAAATTTATGTGTGTGTATATGCATGCGTGTATGTATACGTTTCTGTTTTTTTATTCCCCCTGTAGAATATAAGCTTTAGAAGGTGACGATTTGTCATCTGTTTTTTTTTCACTGTGTTATCTGATGTGCCAAGAATATCTGTGAAGGAAACACAGTGAAAACATAATACACTCATTTTTTGAATGAATGAATGAATGAAGTCACCATTGTTTGGATCTGAAACATATTTTACTTATAATTAAAAGTGAATATCTAGAAAGTAACAGAAGAATAACTTCTAAATCTCTCAAACACTCTGAGTTATATTTCCAAGAGAAGTCAAGTCCATCTTGTTTCTCTTGGAAACCCTTCCAATCATAAGAAGGTAGCAAGAGTCATCACTCTGCAGTATAAAAATGATTTTTCAGCAAGGTTTTAGAATTCAAAGGATATTCTGCAAGCCTGAATTCTTTACCCTTATGCAGGTGGGAAAAGAAAACAAACGTCTCTATACGCAAGTTCAGGAATGCTGATTTTGGTGTTCAAATAGTTCTGTTTTAAAGCATATGGCAAATAGACCCAGGGGAAAATTTCCTCACTGCTGTGTTTGCTTTTATAGCTTTAAACACTGAGGTTTTATGCAAGAGAAAATAGATTTTTGAGATGACAATGACAGGTGAAATAGGATGTGAAGAAATGATACTTCAGATTCTCTTATGTCAACAATATTAAAAAAAGCTACATGAAAAGGAAGTGATCTACCCATCTGTAAAACCCAGAATTCTCAGTGAGTCACAGCCAAGGTGAATTAACATCAAATTCAAATGCTTTGTGCTCAAATGCTTTGTGATAAATCATAAGATATGAGTTTTAATTTCTTCTAGTAGGTCTCATCAATAGCTAACTAAGCTATATTTTTTCTTTTGTTAAAAAAGTATGGTAAACTCTCATTCAATGTAGTTGTCACAAATGATCAAATATTTAGGTAGAATGCTAGATTATATAGAATATTTGTATTACCAATTTCTTGAAGCTTAGACTAGAGCATGATGCAGTTAACATTATTATTTTCCTGAATATATGTAACAATTAAGTAATTCAGGATCATGTGACACCTCAGGGCCATCAACGATTATTCTATTGGAACTTGCTAAAGTAATAAATAGCGTAATTTTACATAACAGAGGGTCTCCTATATTATCGTTCATGTAATATTTTTTGCCAGTACAAAGAATTCCCATTGAATCAAATTTGTCTTATTGGCTTTTATAGGGATCTAAAAGTCAAGATATAAAGAGGTGTTTATATTTGAAAATAATTATTTTTTTGAAAGTGTAAAGTTCCTTGTAGGGGCTTTAATAATTTTGGGGGTAGAAATTATTTTCTTCAGTGTGTTTAAAATCCATGGTGATAAAGCATACCAACAAGCTATAGGTGAAGCTGGAATGAATGTTAAACCTTAACCACATTAAAAACACACACGCTGATAAGGGCACATTAGGGCCAGAAGCAGCTCTTGTAACATTTTATTCTGAAAAGGCAAACTTTGTTAGTATTTCAGAAAACAGCCTAATTTGTTGAAAAATTGTATCTGTCATGTTCTCTTTAAAGTCACGGTAGTTGAAATAGGATGATCTCATTACTACTTTTCTCACAGTTAGAATAAAATAATAGTATACCAGACAGGGTAAAAGCAGTTTTAAGTTTTTGTCAGGAATTTCAAACCGGCATCATCTCTTCTTATCCTCCATTGGTAGAGAAATTATCAAAGAATGAAAAAGTAGGTTTTAAATTCACTTGTGTGCCTTTACAATTTGAATCTGACTTACTCTGTTGAAACATTAGTAATTAGTCATGCATCAACACCAAGTGCCCTAGATTTTGGCAGTCATTAAAAAAAAAAGAAGAGGAATTTTCTATTCTGTTCACAGTGAAGACAGGATATTGACGGATTCTGTAGGGTTATTCTGCTAATTGAATACTCAAAAAAAAAAAAAAAAGCTTGAGTGTGTACATAACAAGTTGAGAATTCTTCCCTTTTAATATTATAATGCATGTGCCATATGTATTAGTTAGGCATCTTTTATGTTTCTCAAGTTTTTATTCATTTGTTCAAACTGCTCTGAAAAAGCTGGAAGAGATAATAATATGGACAAGGTAATTGTTGTTCATACCAGTATCTTTACACATAAAGTTAAGTCAAATTTAATGAAATATTGATTAAAGTAAGAAAAATAAGGTAAAAGTGGTCTAATATGGCGGGCTTGGTGATATTATATATTTTCACTAAGTGTGCTATAAATGCCCACAAAACTTATCTTATCAGGTATTTCTTTGTTGAATTTTATTTACACACATAGATCTGGCAATACACAGGTATAAAGAACACAGAACTGGATTGCAAAGGCTGCAGTTTCCATTTTCTCACTATTGATTACAAATTGCAGTTTGCATATATCAAAGTTTCATTTTTTACCTGTTTAAATTGGGATTAATTACATTTGTCCTTCATGGGAATGTTGGACAAATACACAGAGTACAGGTGAACTGTATAAAGGTAACTTTTGTTACTTGAACATATTAGTAAATGTTATATATTATATGAAAGAAAATGCCCCGAATACTTCATAGCATTCTGTCCACTCAGTTGAATTAATTTTCAATAGAATTTTAATTCTTATTCCATTTGGTATCTTGCCAAAGTAGTAAATAGTAGGATCATTAGAGCCCTTCCTAATTCCTTCATCGTGTTTGTGTGTGTGTAAACCCTTTAGATGTTTTTTACCCATAATAGCTTTCAAATTGCTTTATGTCCTCCAGCCTCATGAAGATGCTTTCTTTATGAAAAAGTCGAAGCCAAACCCAAAAAACCTTAACTGGGCACAAAAATAATTCTAATATTCTTTTATCTGTTGCTTGCTGTCAAACAGGCATCTCTATGTGTATAATGTAGAACAGAAGATGTAAGAAATACGAATATCTTTCCCCACTTTGCATAATGAGGCAATTAGTTGTTATCTAGGTCCCTGGATGATCAGCAATATTCCAGAAACGTGTGCTTGGGTGTGATGTGTGTGAGCTGTAAATGTAAGAGTCCCAATAATTGCTGTAATTGCTGATGGGCTCAGTCTCACCCGACAATTATGCACCAGATGTGTAGTAAGAGTACTTGGTGTGGCTGATAGCTTATATGGCACAAAGTACTTTCAAACTAAGTTAAATTTTGTAATTAATAACTATAATGAATGTTACAACTACTTTCCACTACTTTAACATTAGTTCATGTCCTTTATTATAAAATACCATACACATGTAAATTTCACATAATTAGATTGGCTCATCAATCTGTTATTCCCCAATTATATAACAAAATAGTTACTGAATAAGATTTATGGGTAAGATGCTAGGGAATATATTTTAGGCTTCAGAAACCCTTATTTGCATATTCTAATTAGCAGTTTATTAATCTTAAATGCATAAGGAAATTAACTGCAGCTTAATCTCATAAAATTCATCACGGTAATCCTTTATTACATTGCTTTGATATACATTATTTTTAAGCCGTTTATGTACTGGAGTATGGCTAGAAGATAGGGAATTTCATCCCCTTGTTGCACTTACAGGTCTTTCCCCACTCACACTGTCACCTACATTATATCAAAAATTTAATACCTTCTAATAACCTTTACTTTTAATAAATTAATACAATATTTTCTATTTCTCTTCAGTAACATTTCCTATCTCCTTTTTTCAGAAGATCTCTCCACTAGTCTGCCTTTTTACCAAATCTAGCAGAGTAATTCCCCCTTTATCCATGGGTGACACATTCCAAGACCCCAGTGGATGCTGAAACCACAGATAGCACTAAGTCCCATATATGCCATGTTTTCTGTAATAAAATTTACATGAATGTAGTCTCTCTCTCTCTCTCTCTTGCAAAATACTGTGATAGTTTCAGACCACAGTTGGCTGCAGTTAACTGAAAGTACAGAAAGCTAAACCATGGGTAAGGGAGACTACTGTATCTATAGAAGCAGATATATGAGTAACTTTCTGTTGAGCAGATAGTTTTTTCAGATCATAAGGTGGTAATTTTCAGGAGGTGAATTTCACGAATTCAGAAAACCTTTATTAAGTCATTTCTGCATGTCAGAGACTAGGTACAATAAACAAGATGGAAGATAAACCAGAGAAGCTCATTGCTTTAGAGAGTTCTAAAACAAGACCCACTGGGAAGAGAAGCAAAACTTTTCTCCTAGACCAAACCCCATCTAGCATGGGGGAAAAAGTTTCAGAAAGTTCTGGTGTGCTTTTAGGTTCCTCAGGTTAATATTTGGGGTCTTACACCCCAAAGCACAAAAGTGACCCACTGAGTTTAACTGTAGTGTTTCAGGAAGAATGATATTTATTTAAGTACTAAAGGACGGCACCATTTTGTCATACTAGGACGCTCTCAGCAGTTTAGAGATTTAAGAAAAGCTTCTTAAGTCTTCACCATTTCACAGTGTTTACAGTAAGCTTCCAAATCCGTTCTATTTCTATAAAAACTAAATGAAACAGACAAAAACAACCAATGATGGTTACAAATATGCTCTTTGGTCTATGATCTCATACACATGAAACTTCCCCTTTCAAATATGTGGGTTACGACTATGAAAACCTGAAATGAATTTCTTTATGTGGAACAGAAATGGACTTTGAAAGCAATGCCAAACAAGAATAACAAAATATTCTAATGTTAAATATTCTGTCTTTATACATGAGTTATATAACGTATATATTAATTTTGCATTAATTGCACTCCAGCCTTATGTCTATTCTATTAATAAAAATTTAATTGGGTATAAGAATATGTCTAATATGACTAATATGTTATTATATATTTTGTAGGTATTAGTTTATGCTATTTATTATACATACTATTTATTATAATGTATTGTATAATAAATTATATATAGAGAGGGAGACAGAGAGAGAGAGAGCATGTGCAATGGCAAGAACATCAGAATGACTGTATGACTTATTTTTATGTCTGCTTGCTTAAATTTGCAAAGTCCATGGCTGATATTTAGTGAACATGCCCTGGTATAGCCACAGCAGTTCAGGTATTGAAATACTTTTGTATAACTGGTAAACATCAACGGCTTAGGTTTCCTGAATCTACTCCGGGTGTACACTAGGGTAGACCTCACAAAAGTCCCCACATCTCAGAAACAGCCGGGGCCCCAATATATTGCTTTAGCACTTCGGCCAGTGTTCATTCTGGTCCATGCCCAGGACATATTGTTGGCTGAATATTTTAAATACCATCTTCTCATATGTCTTGATATGCTTGATGAAAACTACCACCTCCAAGAAAAACAGATGATATTCTCATTGCTATTGTAGTGGCCCTTTAGAAGTACCGTAGTTATTACAAAGGTGAAAAGTAGTCGCTATACTTTAAAGGAATTATAGTGGGACAAGTGCAGTACCATAGTGTCCAGGAACTTGATGATGGGAAAGTTTTCTCTCTATACCTCACACCCACTATTTCCTTACAGAAATGCTGCACATAGTCCCCTGAACCTGTGTGCACATTTTTTGTTTCTGATCTGTGCAAGTCTAATAAAATATCCATATTGCCCTTTGCTATTTGATGTTTGTAAAAGAGCTGAAATGGTAATTTGAGTGAAGGCACAGGTTACAGATCACAGTTTAAGGCAAGAAGGAATGGATGAAATTTGGAATCTGTAACCAGTGGAATTAAAAAAAAAAAGAAACGAAGATATTCAGAGTTGACCAATTTGAATAAGCACAGCTAAGAATGCATATTTTAAACATTTACTTTGGTTGATTTCACTTCTGTCCTTTTTTCAATCCTGATTTTAGATTTGGGGTTTATTTTTAAGGAGTTCTGTATCTATATATTATGATCCTGACGTGATACTAGACTTCTTAAATCAACTAAGGCAAAGAGAAAATAACTATTACAAATAAACAATATAATTCCAAAGCAAGGTTCAGGAGAATTTGTTGAAGCCATGAGATTCTTTAGCTCCTGGAATGGGGTCAAGTGGGAGTTACTTATGTGGCACATCAAGAGATTTTTATTGGTTCATTAGACTCAGACCAAAAATCAGGAGCCAAAAACCAAGTCAAGTCCAACTATCCAGGCAATAAACAACATATTGCCTATTTTTATTGGTGAGAAAATAAACACACATTTACAACGTGGCCATATTTTTAGAAAACAGTCTCTTTTCTCTGAGTCTCCTTTTAATCTACTTCCTCAATCCATTTCTAAAAAAACTTTAGACACTTTTTTGTTCTTAATCCTTGTTAATGATTTGTTAGTTTCTTTGTGGAGAAGCCAAACCAATAAAAATCAAAATACAAGTGTTATTTAGATGATTGGCAGACTATTTCCTTAGTGTATCATATTATAGAAATGGATGTTCCTGAACCAAAACCATAAAAGATCTTTATTATATTTCTAAAAACATTTATTTTCTTAATTATGTTTTTTCAGAGAGCTTTTTCCTTAAATCTTTCAGATAATGGATTGCACTATAAGATGTCATCTTAAGTTATCACACTCATATATCACTCTGCTCTTCACAGTGAAACTGATAAAGACGGATAAGTCACCAGAGAAAGAATGACATGCTTTCATTAACAATAAACATACCACAGATTTCTTTTGAAGATTTCTCTAAGGTAAGTACAGTAGTTGAAAAGAGGTTTGAAATATAATTTTCAAGTATTTTGATTTAATTATGGTGAGGCTCAATGTGTAGCATTGTGTGGCCCTATGGTTTTCTGAAGAAAAGTTTCAAATTTCTTTTAGTTTCTTCCAAAAGATCATTCAACACATCTCTAATTTAGCTTTTTCCTCAGATTCACTTACACTTTTCAGATTAAAGTCATTCCCACTCCCACCTATAAGTAGTAAATATATGTGTTTTTAATTGCTCTTTAAATTTCATAAACCAAAATAACATATGGTTGTTTACAAAGATCTAATTAGCACTTTTACCTAAATATGCTTTCGTGGTTGTGAAGACAGTAAAATTAAAATGCAAATTATAATGTGTATATGAGAACTAAGGGAGAATTTTAACCAAACTGCCTGCAGGCAAATGAATCCCCTTGCTGTTATCTTGCCATTTTTTGGACCTGTCCTGAATAAAAAACGCGGAATCCTTACCTGAAAGTTAGAAGTCTTCATTCTGTAGTCAGTTAAGACAGTATTAACAAAGCCAAGACCTTGAAAGACATATGATTAATATAGCAAATAATCAACTGGGAAATCAAGCACTTTAAAAATTAATGCCACAAAAGAAATCAATAACAAAGAGAAAAGCATTAGAAGGTTCAATTATTAGTAAAATAATCCTAGCACCATTCATATTTGGGGAGATCAGTCTCAAAAGATTTCTGGAGAAGATGCCTCTTCAAAACATTTTTCAAAGCCAGCTAAGAACATGGCCCTGGTATTGGGAAAAACTGCTGCAAGGCAATGAGGAATTTTGGATAGCTGAGTATTGATGAGCTAAACTGAAGGCTCATGTAACATCCTGGAAATGTATGTCTATAAAATAAGATTCAGGGCAAGATAGAAAGGAACTGCCAGTTAGTATGTAAAACTATGATTGGTTATCAAGTTTAGGTTATCAATTATTTGAAAAGACATATAATTATATATGCATTTATTAATTGTATTATATACCCTAAACGATGATGAGGTTTAGAAAGGAGTGTGTGATATTGAGCAAAAAGAACAAAACTGGAAGCATCACACTCCCTGATTTCAAAATATACTACATAGCTATAGTAACCAAAACATCACAACACTGGCATAAAAACAGACGTGTAGAACAATGAGACAAGATAGGAACTCCAGAAATAAATTTATGCACTTATAACTAATAATATTCAACAAAGGTACTATGAACACACCATGGAGAAAGGAGAGTCTCTTTAATATATGGTGCTGGGAAAACTGGATACCCACATATAGAATAATAAAATTAGATCCTTATCTCACACCATATATAAAAATCTGCTTAAAATGGATTAAAAACTGAAATATAAGACCCCAAACTGTGAAACTCGTTGAAAAACCATAGAAAAAAAAGCTACATGACATTTTTCTGAGCAACGATTTTTGGATATAACTTCAAAAGCACAGGCGACAAAAGCAAAGATAGACAAATAGGACTGCATCAAAATAGAAAGCTGTTCTACAGCAAAGGAAACAATCAACAGAGTAAAGAGAAAACCTACAGAATGGGGGAAAGAAAATATTTGCAAACTACACATCTGATAAGGGGTTTATATCCAAAATAAACAAGGAACTCAAACAACTCAATGGCAGAACAAACAAAGAATAACAAATAGCTCAATTTAAAAATGAGCCATGACTCTAAATTTCTCTAAACAAGATATACAAAATGGTCAATAGCTATATGAAAAAATGCTCAACATCACTAATCATTAGGGAAAGACAAATTAAAACTACAATGTGACATGACCTCATACTTCTCAGAACGTCAAAAAGACAAAAGAGAACAAGTGTTGGTGAGGATGTAAAGAAAGGAGAACTTGCCTGATGTTGGTGATAATGTAAACTAGCCAGTATTTAAAACAGTATGGAGGTTCCTCAAAAAAAAAAAAATTAATGAAACAGAACTCCTAAGTGATCCAGCAATCTCACTACTGAGTATATATCCAAAGGAAATGAAATCTGTATGTCAAAGAGATATCTACATTCTCACGTTCGCTGCAGCATTATTCACAACAGCTGAGATGGAATCAATCTAAGTATCCATTGATGGGTGAATGGATAAAGAAAATGCTGTATGTATACACAGTGGAATACTATATTCAGCCATGAAAAAGGAGGAAATCTTGTTATTTGTGACAACATGGATGAACCTGGAGGACCTTATGTTAAGTGAAACAAACCAACCAAAGGAACAAAGACAAATATTGCATGATTGCCCTCATAAATGGAATCTTAAAAAGTTGATCTCATATAAGTAGAGAATAGAATGGTAGTTACCAGGGGCTGGGGTAGTTGGTGGATGGTGGTTGGGAAGATATTGGTCAAAGAATACGAAATTTCAATTAGATAGGAGGAAGTTAAAGACGTCTATCATACAACACAGAGACTATAGTTAGCCATATATTGTATTCTTAAACAATGCTAAGAGAATGAATGCAAAATATCCACAAAAATGATAACTATACGAGGCAGTGCATATGTTAGTTA
Source organism: Homo sapiens (assembly GCF_000001405.40). NCBI lineage: Eukaryota > Metazoa > Chordata > Mammalia > Primates > Hominidae > Homo > Homo sapiens. The sequence continues at coordinate 147,676,473 of NC_000007.14, read as the reverse complement.
CCTAGACCTAGTCATTCCATAATGTATATAGACTTCAAAACAATATATTATATATAGTGAACAAATACAATTTTGTTTGTCAATTAGCAAATAAATATATTACTAAATAAAATAGAGTTTGTGTTGCCATGGTTACTGTAACCCTAGCAGGTTTTAGGGAATTGTTGATAATAGTAGCTAACACTAAATGCTAACTGCTAAGTACTTCACATACATTTTTTTCCATTTAATTCTTACAATAATTCCATAAGAAAACATTCTTCATTTAGAACAAAATTAGTCATCGTATGTCTATTTTCAATACAGATATGATTCATGTCACATTCTCTTTTGTAACTTCTGCTGCATAAAAGGAAAGAAGAACTCTATAGAAATTGAAGTCAATGGAATTACTCTAATTAGAAAAATAAAATCCATATAATCAATAAATTAACAATGGCCATTTATTGGCAAAGCAGGGAGCTAATTGCTTTATACATATTATCTTACAATGCACGCTATTATCTAATACAACATGTGTGAAGCTAGTATCATCACAATTATTAAAATATCGTTATTTTTAAAAGGGGGAAACTTGTGCTCTAAAGAATTATGGGCATGATCATAATTCCTCAATGTGAGTGGCAGATCCATGTTTTTCACTCAGTTTTGCCTAACTCCAAAGTCTATTTTTCACATCTTGTAATACATTCACCTGAATCCCTCTAAAATACATGCCCAAACGCTAACCCCTGTGTGATGGTTAATTTTATGTGTCAACTTGATGGTGCTAAAGGATGCCTAGATAGCTAGTAAAACATCATTTCTGGGTGTGTCTGTGAAGTGTTTCTAGAAGAGATTGGCATTTGAATCAGTACAGTGAGTAAAGAAGACCACCTCACCAATGTGCGAATCATCCAATCCATGGAGGGATTGAATTTAAAACAAGGTGGAGAAAGAATAAATTTCTTCTTTCTGAGTACCTGCCCTCAGATATCAGCACTCATGATTTTCAGGCCTTTAGAGTTGAACCAGGATCGACACTAGTGGTCTCCCATAAGGGTCATTTAGATATCCCCTTGGTTCTGTTTCTCTGGGGAACCCTGACTAATATACCTTAGCACCTGGAAATGTGATCTTATTCGGAAATTGAAAAGTTGGATTTTTGCAGATATGTTTAAGTTAAGGATCTCAAAATTAATCATCCTGGATTTGGGTGGGCCCTAAGTCAAGTGACTGGTGTTCTTATAAGAGAAAAGAGATTTGATTTGAGACACTGAATGGAAGGCCTTGTGAAGACGGAGGCAGAGATTGGAGTGATACCACCAAAAGCCAATAAAAGCCTGGAGCCACCAGAATATGGAAGAGGCAGGGAAGGATTTTTCCCTGGAGCCTTTGAAGGAGGTTTGGCCTTATGAATACCTTGATATCAAACTTCTGGCTTCTAGAACTGCTGAGAGAATAAATGTCTGTTGTTTTAAGACACAAAGTTTGTGGTGATTTGTTTTGGCAATCCTGGGAAACTAACACATCCATGAATGAAGATCTAAGATAAACAGCTGATAGGAAAATGGAAAAAAAAAAGAGCTGATCATGCATAATTTTTAGAAAGATATGCTGAAATAAAAAATAATTCAAGAACAAATTGAATGCTAAAAGAAAACTTTCAGTTATCAACTAAAGAGTCTCAACCTAAATAGTGAAAAATCTAACCTTACCTCCCTTAAGGAAAAAAATGTAACAACCTATAGTCTATATTGTAATAAGGAATAAATTCTATGGACAAGCTCCAATTACCAGTGTAAATTTCTTTGAATCTTATCATGATGAAGATAATCTCTTGATCTCTATTGCATTTAAACAACGAAGTGAAATATGTTTTCTCAGATATTCTGCTTTCTAATATCTCCAAGCCTCAGGAAGGCACATCAAAATGCTGCTTATATAAATAACTCTATAAATAATATTGTATTTTTATACGCTCATTTTTTACAATAGAATGAGAGCTTTCTTTATAAGGAAAAGCTCTAATAATATGTCTTTTCATTGCCTGCAGCTTTAAACATTTTCAGAGGCAGAAACTATAGTAATAGCAGTTTGCAAATGAAGTGGTTTGTAAATCTTAAACTGCAATTTTCTCCCAAACAAAACAACAACTAAAAAATATGCTCTCTAAGGAGAGATGAAACTGTAAAGACTTTTATTTGGCATTCAGATGTTGCTGGATATGTTTTCAATAAAGAATATCCTCCCCTTAAATAGCACCTACATCTTTCCACCAAAATCTTTTCTTGTATATTGTCTGTCCACAACGGGAGTGAGGCTTACTATCGCATGCTAGTTAGATGCATTATTCATTTCCTTTCTGCTTATATATTCCACAGTTTGAAATTTCCTCCAGAATTAAAAAAAGTAAATCGTCACGGTCATAGCTACAATGTGTCTCTTGTTTATTACACCTCTCCCAAACAGCCAGTGCATTTAATGATACACCATTTACATTTAATAGTATTCAGACATATTTGGCACATGTTTTATTATTTTTTCTTATAAAGCTTGAATTTTTAAAAAAGCCCCACTGATTTTTGTACCATTTAACATGTATTGAAAATTATTTTTTAATTTGAAAGATATAAAGAAGTATAGGTAGCATTTGCTTCCTATATTTCAGAAAACTTTCTCTGATTTTTCAATGATTCATTTAAATTCCTATTATTAACAGAAAACACAGTCTCATTTCAGTTGGTCTGTGTCTCAAAATCTAATGTCCCCATCTCCAGTCTTGGCCATTCTTCCCATTCACTCCCCAGAACTATGGTTAGTACCACCAGAGTGTTACCAACATCATCAGCAGCAGAGCATTTAATTTAGATTTCATCGGAGCTAAGTAAAGCAGACAGCTGAACAAGAGAGAACAGTACTTTCTCAATGGGGTAATAGAATAATGAGGTTTTTTTCTTATATAGCTAGAAAGCAGCATGCTATAGTGAAAGAGGATGAGCTTTAGATTTATTCCAACTTAATCTATACTGCTGATCTTCCCTCTCCGTGGATAATTACTTCACTATTCTGAGCCTCATTTTTTACTTAGCTGAAAAATAGGAATAAGGATGTTGCAAGGATGAAATAAAATAATGTATGTAATAGCACAGCGCTCAGAACATGAATGATAATCAGTTACATGGTAATTACCTCCAACTAACTCACACACTTCCACAACTTCGTTTTTTCCTTCCAGACAATACCAACAACTGAACTGCAGCAGTGTGGCAGAGGAGCCAGTTGGCTCCATATATCATACCTCATGTAGAATTTACAGAATGAAAGAAATTTAAAGACAGGTCAAATGCTTCATTTGATACCATTGCTCTTTATTGGCAAATGTGTAGTAGAATCAAATCCATTGATTTGTAGTCTGGAATAGGAATCTTCTAATTATGTTTCCAAATCATAAAAATGACTGTTAATGAAAAAAAAATCAAAAGCATGCTCCAGTAATGGTTGCTGTTCATTATTATGGCCAGGTATAGAACATACATCTGAAATGAAATACTTTTGATTTGGGGAATTCAGGATCAAACTTGGCTTTGGGTATCCTTGAATCCAGCTGCAATCAAATCAAAGCTTTGAGACGTTTTTGAAACGGAAGCAGCAACATTGTGAAAGATCAAATAAAAAAAAAATCAGTGCAACTAAGAATCGTCTTGTGAATTTTTAGCCATGGTGGTACCTTGCATAACAGCAGGGTCTGCAGTGAATACACAGTACAAAAGCTGATGAAATGGCTCCCTGAAAGCAGGAAGGTAATGTTTTGAAGTCTGAAGAGCATCTAAAATGGGACGTGCTTGACACCTATATTTCAACAGAGAAATATCCAGAGAAACAAAGTGGAGGCCCCCCGGATCACTTTTGCAAAAGGTCTTTTACCGGCTTTAAGTCTCTCTGAAGGGTTTGTTGAGAATCCAGTCCAAAGTTTCCCAAGGAATTTTCTTCCTGGATTCCACTTTTGAAAGAATTCCCTGCCATGCTTTGCCACATGCCCTCCTAAAATAGATAAATAAAGGCTAGAATTTATAAGAAAGAAAAGAGTTTAGCACAAAAGCCTCTAATATTCTAATATTGGATCTAAAGCTTCTGATAATGGGTCATAAATGTCATTTTCTATAACTTTGCTTTTTTAAACAATTCAAATTTAGAAAGTTTAACATGGTATTTGTGGGCTACTTATATTTGAATGAGTAGATCATTTGTGGTAATTCTGATTAACTTTTGGGTATTAAGAACATGGCTAGAACTATACCTCCCTAAAGTACAATTTTTTCCTATAGAAAAATCAGATTTGACATATCATCTCAACTTACACCATCTTGTCCAGGAGTACAGCACATCATAAAGCTAAGGATTGCCTTCAGTGATTTCATTCTGATGTTTTAAAGTACTTTTTTTTAGTCTCTTGACCATCTGAATCAGCATTTTTCTCAGACCAGTATCTGATTTTCTAACAAACTCTGTACAAAAAGGAGATACGGAATCCCTTAGGGCTTCCCTAATTTGGGGGAACATAACCTTTTTTTGATAGTATCTTCACAATATCTACTAGAGTTAATGAACTGGAGATTGCATAAAGGGTACTGTAAGCAGGTATAGCCCATATCCTGGTTTAAATGCACACTATTCCTCTTATTTTGGGGCCATCCCATTTGAATTAGCCTCCTTCCCTTTTGGAGCTCGATCACAGCCAGAGGAGCCAATTAGTGAGTGGAGGGCATGCACCTTGAGGTTAGAGTACTTGGGAGCCCCACAAGACATCTCTGGCCTTGAGCTTTATCATGTCACAGCAAATACGCATGCTCTATGTGCTATTAGCTGTTCCATGGAAACAATTTGGGGAACATTCTGTATTCCATCCCACTTTCAGGAAATTCATAATTCTCATTATAAAGTCTAACAAAAATCTATCTAGTTATTTTGGCCAAAAAAAAATTTCTTTTTCTCAGATAAACGTCACTGGACACCAGCTTTTCATGAGATATAATTTGAAAAATGGAGTTCTTGACTCTGTGTCTATAGCTGAAGGACCAGTTTTCTCAGCGTTGTTCTGAGAGCTGCAGCCTTTTCAAGAAGCTCAGTTCAGCCTGTGTCCGGTCCTCCTCTACACTTTGTTATTGTCAGTGCACTTTACAAAGCACTAGCTCCATATGGAAGTGAAGCAGGATATTTCCCCGAGCCTTTCATGGAACTTGCAACCGGGTGCCTCATTTGCCCAGCTCACAGCCGTCAACTCCTTGCAGGAAAGAGCATGAAATGAACGAGGTGAGAACTGGAGTGCGCAAACACTGGAACCAACTGGCTGCTTCAGCGCAGGCAGGAGCCAGCTCCACTCACTCGGATCCGCTGTGCTCCACCACTCATGGGAAGGAGCACACGGGTAAGTGGAGGCAGGAGCCGAGAGCCAGTGCTTTTGGGCACCAGCAGGAGCAAACTTCATGCAGGCCCCGTGGCAGAGTCTGGCGTGATGCCCATGACCCCTGAAGCTCCAGAGGGAGTGTTACAGTGCTCTTTTAGCTCTGCCATCCGTGGACGGCTTGAGTGTTAACAGCTGAGTCGTCCCTCTGCCTACTCACATGAGGTGGCTGCCCTCCAGCAGGGGCACAGGGCAAGTGTGACAGCCTTTTTTATCCACACTAGTGGTATCCAGGCTCTTGCCTGGAATTCAGGAGAAATGAGGTCATATGAACAACCTGAAGGATGGCAACTGTCGGGGATTTTACCGCCAATGGAAGTGGCTTTCAGTTGGAAGGGGAGCTGAAAAGCAAATGGAATGGGAAGGTAATCTTCCCCTGACGTCTGGCCATCTCTGGCCAGATTCTTCTCCAAAGTTATGCTGTCAAGCTCTCCCTCTGAAGTCAAGCCACTTCTCTCCAACATCCAGCCACAGTCTCTGATGTCCAGCTGCTTCACCTCTCTCTGCTGGTTGAGTATGAGGTTTTTATAGGCACAGGATGGGGCAGGGCCACACATGGTTTTGGAAAAGGAAATATTTGAGCCAGAAACAGAGATGTAAGTTCTCACTTTGGACTGTGTTCCCAGGCTTGAGGGTGGGGTTTTGTTGGGGATCCACCCTTTTCTGCCTAGAATTTCTCTGCCTCCTGTCCCTATCAGAAGGAGAACGTCCAGGGCATTCACATCCCTGGCGAATTGGAACACGGACCTCAGGTCTTCCCTTTATCCCTGCTGCCATGTGTTCAGGATTAATGCAGGACTTAGACCACATGGACTCAAGAACCCGGAAATTTAAAAAACAAGAAGAAAACAGAAAATCCAGAATTACAGGAGACTGTTTCAGAGCTTTTCTCTGTATATTGTGGAACACATTACCCCACATATTTTACACATTGACATTTTCACTTTAGTCAGAAGCTATTAATAACAAAAGTTTCAATACATGAAAGAAAATAGAATATGAGACCAGTAATGCCATCTCTAGAAGATGGGATCCAGGGAGAATCTAAGCTCCCCTATTTCTAGAAGAGTACAGAGAAAGCAGAACCGTGGATTACCTGCTCCTGCTGCTGCCTCACAAACAGATGACGGGTGTTAGTGAAATGTTTGTGCTTAGGATGGAAAACATAATTTAGTTTATGGTAGCGAATAAATATTAGGGGGGAGTCCAAGCCTGATATGGTCATGATATGATAGCTGGAATAGCTGGAAGGATGGAGAAGACCAAGAGATGAGTCCAGGAGGCGGACAATGGTGGTGCCAATGGGAAACAAAAGAAGAGTGGAATTGAGCATGCAGATGAGAGGCTGGGGCTTGCCCGGGCACCCAGAGCCCCTCCAGGATGGCTGGCTGGGAAGTGAATTGGAGTCATTGTTTCACTACCAGTAACGACTACCAATAAACTAGTGTCACAATGACCTAAATAAGAATTCCCACATCCAGCTTGGGTAAAAATGTAGGATGGTGGTAGCATATAGTTGGTCAGGGTACAATATTGTCTAACAGTAGTCTTCGAAAGCTGTAACAAAATACATAGTTTTTGACACAAGAATTCCACTTTGGGACTTATTTTAAGAAAATTAATTAGGGACCTATGCAAAGATATGTTACAAGGCTGTTCATTTTAACATAGTAATATAGATTTTTGATGAAATATGATTTTCACATTAACATTTATGGGGCATAAGTGTATTTATTTGTTTTGAAAGTTTTATGTTGCATTTTGTTATATGAAGTAACAAGATTTTGTGTAAAATCTTATTTTGTGTCCCTTAACAGTGGGGGTATGTTCTGAGAAATGCATCATTAGGTAATTTCATCTTTGTATGGACATCATAGAATGTACTTAAACCCAGATGGTATATCCTGCTACACAGCTAGGCTATATGGTATAGCCTATTGCTCCTAGGTTATAAACCTGTACAGTGTGTTGCTGTACTGGATACCTTAGGCAACTGTAACACAATGGTAAGTGTTTGTATATCTAAACATAGAAAAAATACAGTAAAAATTAATATAAAAGATAAAAAAAAAGCACACCTATATAGGGCACTTAACAAAAATGGAGCTTGCAGGACTGGAAGTTGCTCTGAGTGAGTCAGTGAGTGGTGACAGGATGTGAACACCTAGGGCATCACCGCACACTACTGTAGATGCCAGAAGCACTGGACACTTAGGCCACACTAAATATATAGAAAACTTTTCTCTTTGATAATTAACCTTAGCTTATTATAAATTTTTACTTTATAAATTTTAATTATTTTTTACTCTTTTATCACACTTAGCTTGAAACACAAACAGCCGTACAAAAATATTTTCTTTCTTTATATCCTTACCTTAAGATTTTTAAATATTTTTTCAATCTTTAATTTTTTATTTTTACTTTTTAAACTTTTTTGTTAAAAACTAAGACCCAAACACACACAGTAGCCTAGGCCTATAAAGGGTTAGGGTCACTACTGCTGTCTTCCACCTCTACACCTTGTCCCACTGGGACGTTCTCAGGGGCACTGACACCCATGGAGCTGCTGTCTACTGTGATAACAATGCCTGCTTCTGGAATGGCTCCTGAAGGACCTGCTTAAGGCTCTTTTTAAAGATGTGTCACTCTTTTCAGAAATATGTTTATGAAGTTTTGCTGGGTTTCTTTCTTTCTTTAATCATAGATTTTCTTATCAGTAGACAATGCACTATGAACATTCCTCTATGAACGAACCATTCAGTTTTGGGGTCCACGTTTTTAAACTTTTTAAGGAGTTTGTTGAGGTCTGTAAAAACTTCTAAACCTTTCACTGTGAATTTCCTTGGGGGTTTTCCTTTTCTTCTCCTGCAGTTTCCTTTTCTGTTGCCTCTTCTTCAGCTATATGTTCTATTCCAACAACTCCTCATTAGTCAATTTCTCAAGAACCTCCAGGAGCTCCTCGATGTCATCCTCATCCACACCCACGTTCAAGTTGTCTGCCAGTTCAACCACCACCTTGTTGATTTTTCCAACCTGCTCATCCTGAGCAAATCATTTGAAGTCATTGATGAACCTCTTGAGTATCTTCTTCCAGCTGCCATTTATACACTCCTTAGTGACACCACCCCAAGCCCAAGCAAGATTCTTGGTGCAGTCAGAGATGTCGTAATCCTTCCAGAATTGCATTGGTATCTTTTATTTTTTTATTTTATTTTTTTTATTATTTTTTTTTTTTGCAGCAGCAGCCTGGGTAAAAGTCCTTCTCAGGTAATAGGCCTTAAAAAGTGCTTTAATGCCTTGATGCAATGGTTGAATCAAAGAGGTGGTGTTTGGAGGGAAAAACATTACTTTGATATTGGGATGGAGATCACCAATAAAAGGAGCATGTGTGGGACCATCACCAACAATAAGCAAATCCTGAAAGGTATGTTATTCTCCAATAGTACTTCTCATTTTGCTGGCATAGTAATTCAGAAGGGCGTCTTGGAAAGGAGCTGGGTCATCCATGACTTCTTATGGCTCCTCTAGTTTACCAGCAGTGCGTGTTTAGTGATATGCTTGGAGACCCTGGGGTCGTCACTGTGCCATATCATTAAAAGTTTCTATTTGTAGCCTGCAACATTTCTCCAAAGTGAGATGGTTATTCTGTCCTTAAAAACCTGACATCCAGCATTGACTTGGCCCCCTTAGGGATAATAGTGCTTTAAGGCATTGGTTTCCAGAATACAGAGGTTTCCTTCATACTGAAGATTTGCTCTGACAAGTAATTCCCCCTCACAATCAACTTATCACTAATCAACTGAAAACTAGAGTTTTCAGAAATTCTTCAGCTGTCTTCACATCAGCACTTGCAGACTCACCACTTACTTTCACATAACGTAATGAAAAACAGTTCTTGAATCATTTAAACCACCCAGAGCTAGCAGTAAATTCAACATTGTAGTTGGGTCCAGCCTTTTCTTTCAACATTGCGAACAAACTTCTTGCTTGGCTGTGATCATCATGGTGCTGGGAGGAATTCACTTCTGTGACTGGTCTTCATTCCAGGTCATTAGAAGTTTCTCCATATCTGATATAGGCTCTTCCTGAACTGTTGTTAGTCTCATTGCCTTCAATGAAGAAGATCTTTTCAGCTTCCATCATTTTGTTCTCATTCTTTGAGATCATGGCTATGGTGGAATGGGACAGACCTGACTGGTGAGCAATAACCATTACTGATTTTCCATCTTTGTACCTCTTATTCACTTTTAATTTAGCTTTCAGGTCAATCACAGGACAGGGCCTCTTTCTGACACATTAGCCATGAATTTTGATGATTAAGGACCGTGATGAATAAAATAATGTGTAATTAAATTAAGCACAAAAGAACATGATACAGTCAAGAGACACAGTAAACATGGGATGTATGAGGCTGCTGCTGGCATAACACTGAATACGGTTTTACAGCAAACCTAAAAAGAAGTACAAGGAATACACCTTAAAATAACAATTAAAGTATAGCATAGTAAATACATAAACCAGTAACATAGTTGATTTTCATTATCAAGCATTATATACTGCTTGTAATTGTATGTGATATGCTTTTATATGACTGGAAGCACAGTGGGTTTGTTTACACCAGCATCACCACACACACATGAGTAATGTGGTGGGCTACAGCTACGACAGCTGGGACATCACTAGGTGTTAAGAATTTTTCAGTTCCATTGTAGTCTCCTGAGACCACCGTCACACGTGTGCCTTGTAGTTGACCGAAATGTTGTTATGCAGCACATGACTGTACTTGAAAGCACAAACAAAGGAAAGGTCTAACCGACTAACGCTGGAAATGTTATTAGTCTTCTTTAGGTAGTATATTTCGGGTGATTTTTGATATCTCATTTCTGATTGTTTTGCTAAAGGTAATATTTCTCTTTTGTCTGAGTTTTCTGCTTTCGTCCTACAGCTAAAATAAATTAGTTACTTTAAGGAAAAATAAGGTCTATAAAAAGAGGTAGTGTTATGACATACTCATGAGAATGGCTCAAATGATATAGATACACTATTAAGTGCTGAGAAGCATACAGAGTAATGAGAACTCTAATATTCTCATCCTCTGCTGATAGTGATGTAAACTGTTAGAATACACAAAGACATGGAATCAACCTAAATGCCCATCAATAATAGACTGACTAAGGAAAATGTGGTACATATACACCATGGAATACTATGCAGCCGTACAAAAGAATGAGGTCATGTCCTCTGTAGGAACATGAATGGAGCTGGAGGCCATTATTCTTAGCAAACTAACACAGGAACAGAAAACCAAATACTGCATGTTCTCACTTATAAGTGGGAGCTAAATGATGTGAACACATGGACAGACAGAGGGAAACACACACTGGGGCCTCTCAGAGGGTGGAGGATGGGAGGAGGGAGAGGATCAGGAAAAATAACTAATGGGTACTAAGGTGATGAAATACCTCGGTGATGAAATAATCTGTACAACAAACCCATGGCACAAGTTACCTATGTAGCAAACCTCTGCCCTTGTATCCCTAAACTTAAAATAGAAGTTTAAAAATAAGAGGAAGGAAAAGAATATATATTCACCACAAGACATATTCAAGAATGTTTCTAGTGGCAGTATTTGAATTTCTTCCAAACTAGAAGCAACCCAAATATCCATCTACGGTAAAATAGGAGACAATTTGTAATATACTCACATACACAGTAATGAGAATGAACTATACTATCTTCTGCATAGGTGAATCTGTCAAATTTAATATTAAGCAAAACAGGCTAGACACAAAACAGTATATCTAATACTCTTAAATTAAGAGTTAAACTTCATAAACAGGAAAATACACCTATAGTTTCAGAAGTCAGAATAGTGGTTACTTGGTGGGGTAGGTTTCAGAAAGGGTTATAAGGGGTTCATTGGGGCACAGGTAAAAATTTGGTCTGGATTTTGGTTATGCAGTGGCATCTACTTTGTGAAAAGCAATCAAACTTTGCATCTACAACTCTTACACATACCTCTGTAAATATTATACTTTAATCAATGTGACTTTGTGAAAATAATTGGTTTCAGGTTGGAGATAGGAGCTAGAACTATGGGCCACCTGGCACGTACTGTATGGGAGAGAGGTAAATAACTTACAAGGGCATTGCAGTGTATTGATTAAGAGCAGTGGGTTTAGAGCCAGATAAAACTAGATTAGATTCCCTGTTTTCTTGCTTCTAGCCACGTAGCAAGAGGAAGAGTGAGAGAGGAGGCCGGATACAGGCAGGGCCAGACCATGAAAGACCCTGTAAAGTCAAGATAAGGATTTTGGTTTTCACTGTGTGGTGGGAAGCCATTTCTATTTACAGAGTAGATTCAAAGAGATTTCCTAGGAATAAAAGAAGAAAAGGAACTGTACTGGACCGATAGAGAAGAACAACAACAATAACATCTCCGAATGCTTCGTTTTGGCTGCTGCAAAATAAGCAGCCAAATGTGCTTATTTTGAAGGCGAAAAAAAGGCTGAACTGAATTCCTAGGATAAGTCTCAAAATTGTGGCAGAAAAACCAAAAGAATGCAAGGAGAGCAAGACTCCACAATCTTGAGGCAGATTTTTGAGACAGATTTTTCTCTTTATGTAAGACCTTGCATACCTCACAGCAGCTTTAGAAGTAGGTGAAATGTTATTTGGGGCTACGAGGAAACAGCGTTCTCTTCTTCACTCTTCCTGTCAGCCAGAGATGAAACAAACAAACCACCACCAACAAAAACTCTTAATTCTTAGGGGCGAGATGAACAATTTAATCCATCCGTCTTGACTATACGTTCTATCACTTTTTAATACAAATACAAAAACAGGATTAGAATCCTGATAGTCACACTGGGAGAACTGAGAGAAAACCAGTATCTGCTGTTTAAGCCATCTAGTCTATGGTACTTAGTGATGGAAGCCATAACAAAATAATGCACTAGTTGACATGAAAAATTTCTATTAATTTAGTACTCTGTTAATGTCTTGTGGTTAAACACGTTTTACTACACAGAAAATTGAACTTTGTTTTTATTTTCCAGAGAGCTTAACAAAGTGACTTACACAAAGTACATATTCAGCAAATGTTGGTACAAAGAATTAATGAGTTATAGAATGGATAAATAAGTAAATAAATGAACCAATTCCACATTTAGAAATTAAAGGGCTTTAAAAGCTAAATATTAGGTGGTGGATATATTAATTTGCTGGACTACAGTAATTATTTCACTATGTATGTATATATGAAAACATCATGTTCTATACCTTAAATATATACAATAAAAATTCATTCATTTACACAAAAGCTAAACTGCATTTGTAGTAATAATTGCAAACAGTATGCAAACTGGTAATTTCAGGATACTACTTCGTGAGGAAACATAACTGAAAACAATTTGCTACAGGCAGAAATTGTTTGGCCACGTTGCTTTTAGCAAGTAAGATGTCCATGTGGAATCTGAAGAAAATCAAGAACTAGGTCTTTCATCATAGATAATGTCATCTTTTATGTGAAGAGAAGTCATAAACTCTGTTCTTTGACCAATTCTACTTATCCAAAGAGGAAACAAGTTTTGGTGTTCTGATTTTTAGATTACATCACGCTCTTCACAGTCAATTCCTTAAACCAATGGGAGTTCATTTATCTTTTTCTAACAACTTTGCAAGGACAGGGTTACATACAGAGCCACATGCAAGGATCTTTAAAACAGAAACATTCAGCTGGGCACGGTGGCTTACGCCTGTAATCCCAGCACGTTGGGAGGCCAAGGCGGGTGGATCACGAGGTCAAGGGTTGGAGACCAGCCTGGCCAAAATGGTGAAACCCGTCCCTACGAAAATTACAAAAATTAGCCGGGCGTGGTTGTGGGCACCTGTAATCCCAGCTGCTCAGGAGGCTGAGGCAGGAGAATCACTTGAACCCGGGAAGTGGAGGTTGCAGTGAGCCGAGAACGCGCCACTGCACTCCAGCCTGGGCGACAGAGCGAGACTCGGTCTCAAAAACAAACAAACAAACAAACAAACAAACCAGAAACATCCAGTGAGACAAAAAAAATCACGCTCTAAAACTAAGTAACTTTCTGTTTTCTGCAAACTAAAGTATGTCATAGAACTTTTAAGAAATACAATAAAAAAATTGGAGTTATATTCAAATCAATGTAGTCTGTCGGCTTTCGTTGGTTGTATTAATTTGCTAGATAGTTTGAGATGATCAAATGGCAGAGGCCAATAGCTAGCCTGTAGAGATGTCACTGAAATTTTGCAGACCACCCCACCTTTCTAATTTAATAAGTGTACTAGCCCAAAGGAATGGAAGACACAGAAATAATGAACTATTAAGCTAGCAAGTTATCACCAGTAGGAATAATTCCTACAACCAAATTCTTAAGGTAAGAAGTGTTCATCACTCACTCGCACCCATACAAGAATACCATCTGCTACCTGATGGTATCACTTGTCTCTTTGCAAAAAGAAGCCTTTAGGGATGGGAGGCCTGATGTTCTAGTCTAATTATAAGTTAGATAATTATATCTTGCTTAGCTACATTTCCCAAGTAGTTTTATCTGAATTTCCTGCCTAACCCCTACACCTTAATTTTATTTCCTACTCTAACTCTTGCCAAGAGCTGCAATGCACTGTTAATCAGCTCCTTGATTTGGTAGCAGATGTAGGGACTGTGCCATCCCATCATAGTCTAAATGATTCCTGAATACATTGGGACATTGCCCTTCAGGCTGTGATAGAGATGGAGAACCTGAAACATGGTTTGTAAAGGGCAAAGGATCCTTGAGGTGGAGAGGGTACTTACTGGGCAAAGTGTGTAATGTTGCATCTACATTATGTCAGATCGGGAGGGTTTGTGTTTTTGATTAATATGTGTGCCATCTTGGTATTATAGGAAATAAGTTAAAAAGTGGTATTAAATGTTCTAAGAAAGGAGTGATTGGCCTTTCTTGCAAACCTTAAAGAAAACCAAGACTCAGAGGTATCTCCTGAGAGTTTAGGATGATAGACTACTTAAGGAGAGGTCCTTGGTAATTTTATTAGAGACAAAGGAAGGGCAAATGGCTTTGATGACTGCAATCTAACTCAAAGTTTCTACTAGGTAGGGCTACGTCATGGTGCAGGCTGTAGAATAGCTAGTACTTATATCAAGAAGCAATGGGCCAGGCGCCGTGGCTCACGCCTATAATCCCAGCACTTTGGGAGGCCGAGGTGGGCAGATCACGAGGTCAGGAGTTCAAGAACAGCCTGACCAACATGGTGAAACCCCGTCTCTACTAAAAATACAAAAATTAGCCAGGCGTAGTGGCACACACCTGTAATCCCAGCTACTTAGGAGGCTGTGGCAGGAGACTCACTTGAACCCAGCAGGCAGGGGTCGTAGTGAGCCGAGGTCATGCCACTGCACTCCAGCCTGGGTGACAGAGCAAGACTCCGTCTAAAAAAAAAAAAAAAAGAAGAAGAAGAAGCAATTAGCAGAGAAAAGAGCTGAATTTGGAAATCAGAACAGAGGAATTTTCTCCAAAGCCTTGTCGAGGCATACAACAGGTACTACTGAAATACCACTACTAAATTGTACTACCCATGAGTTCAGTGAAGGTTCGTTAGACAGCACAGACTGTGGCTCAAAGAGGGAGCTGAGCTTCACTGGATTGGGCTAAACACTTCATTAGCCAAATTTGATTTTCAGAAATAAAAATGCACCGCTTAAAATTAAAATTCAAGAATTTTAGAAAAGAAGAATTACAAAAAAAAATGACACGGCATTCTCTAAAAAGTACACCAAATATTCGATGGAAATATTTGGATTTTTGAGACAAAATAAAACACTGAAGTTAGGGGCTGGGTTAACTGGAGGATTATATCTACTACATGACTGGAAGAGGAGGGAAGTGCATATTATAGGTAAAGGGCCCAGGAAAGATAGGTACATCATGGAGAAATAGGTTTTCAATAGCCATAGGCAGGACAGCAGCCCCTTGCAAACAGAAGTCTGGGTATAAGTAATTATATCTTAATGTGTGTGTTTGTTGGGTTGGTGGGTGTGCAATAGGGGGGCATGAGAATTCTGACAGAGGAAGAGTATGCTGTGATTTCATCTGCCCCATATCCCCATATCTCCCTTAACAAAGACCTCAACAAAATATATTTTTAGGGCCAATATTAGGCATAATGTGATTTCAGAGGCTAACCAGTCTCCTACCATCTTACTTCTCTTTAAGCAAAGGCTGTTTGAAATGTCTTTAGTAGAAGATTAAATCTTTAATAGGCCTTGTCTTTAACTGGCCTTAAGGGACCAGGTCTTATTTTTTAACCTCTCATAGAAGTTAGCTTAGTGCCTTAAAGAGAGCAGATGATCAATATGCACCAGTTCAGAGAATGAATGAGTGAATGGCCAATTTCAAAATGGAATATGAAGGGTACTAAATGCAAAACCATACGCACGAGGTGATGTCACTAGACTTAAATGTTTTTATACTAAAATTTAGTTAGAAAACAAATCCAATGCATCTGGTGTCAGAGTCTTTCTGGCCTATTATAGGGAAGAATTTAAAGCGAGACAAGGGAGCACTGGGTCTCCTGTGAAATTGGGAAGGGTGAGGAAGAAGGGAAAGATATGTAGACCTTGGGCTAAGAGTAATCTGAAAATCAGAGTGCCAAAATCTTTTTCTCTATGGATAAGTGGAGTTGCTCAGAAAACTGTAGGAGGAAAAGGTTGTAGGAAGCAGCAGGAAGAGAAGGTTCTACATTGAAAGGAAAAGGGTACAAAGGAATACATTGAAAAAGTCAGTCTTCTCTGAACAATCTTGTTAAGAGTTAGCTTTATTTATCAAAACAGTTTGTGTCTACATTAAAGCTGTTTTTAGGAGTTTGTCTTGTGTTGAGCAAAATGGCATAACTCACATCACCACTGCTTTGCACAGCTCTTAAATAGATATGCATATTTTTCACACGAGTGGCATAGCTATAAAGAATCTAGATCCCAATGTAATAATTAAGTATCAGTTTGCATTCTGAGGACATCCAGGTGGGCTTTTGAGAGAACTAATGAATCAGAGGATAGGAAATTATTATGAATATTTGCAAACACTGAGAAAATATTTATGCTTTGTTATTTTGTTTTCCACCTCATTTCTGTTTCTTTGTTATTCTTTCAAAACAATCTCTTAGGGGAAAAAGGCAGTATGCAAATACAGCATCGAGTGATGTTTTATGTTACATCACCTCATTAGGCAACATCCGGTAAGGTTTCAGGAGTTCTTTAAAATAAAATCTATTCTGTTTTCTTCTTCTCCTTCCCAGGGGTAAATCTACTGTCAATATTAAACAAATTTAATATATGTGGCTATAAATTAATTGTATTACTCTCTAGTCACTCCCATTTGTATTTCTTCTCTCTTATCTTCCTTTGTATTATTACATGATAGCTTTCCAGTAGAACTCCATGCAACACACATGGCTTGATTTTAGTATTTTTAACAATAATGCACAGATAGATAATAAGGTTTATCCACCCCAGTGGTTTCCTCTATGTTGGTAGTATTTATTATCACAACAGTTTCCAGGGAGAAAATGGTTTAATATGTCGTAAGACGTTTCTGCTGAGCATGTGTTTCTATATCTTCACAGTCAATTTCAAATTGAAATCTCTAATATGAAGAAAATGATCAAAATATCTATAAAAGCTACCAAGAAATAAAGTACTCCATCTGCATATTCCATTTGATCTCCATGGGGAGCAAAAATTCAAGTTTCCTGACAATGAATTCCAACATCTCAATCATCATCATTTTTCCCCTTCTTAGAAATGAGAAAAGATTGAGGATTTAGTTTTATAGAGGCCACATCTTCTGAGTCCACCCAGATTTTCCTTTCCTTTGTCTTTTCTACTCTTTGGAAAGGAAATTCAGTTATCTGTGTGCCATAATATAGTGTTAAAAAACTTTTTGCCACAGAGATGTAGGATTGGAAAACATTTAAGCAATCATCTCTGTTGTCTTACATCGTCAGTGCTGGGTTGAGGGGGGCCTCCCTGAAGAGTTCCAAAAATAAGATTGTGCCTTGTGAGTTAAACTAAAATATCAACACTCAGTGGAAAGATGGGAACAAAATTACCACAAAGAGAACTAAATAGCTCCCAGGCCAGCAAGACCCCACTGTAGCCTGATTGAGTACATTAACAGAACTATAGAAAAAACAAAGGGTCAGTGGGAAGCTGGAGGGGAAAGCACAGTAAACAAGATCAAGTTTGTGCATAGCCATCGGCAGCCTAGGAGAAAGGGCTCCACAGTCCAAAGATGACCTGTTACCCTGAACTTGCAATCCTATCATTTACTCCTCTTGTTCCAATTCCAAGCCCAAGAAGCAAGCATCTGATTTTAATTTGGCTTCCCATCTGGTAGCCCTGCAGGGGGAGATTTGGCGGGGTAGAGAACAGAAGTGTCCAGTCCTTTCAGCAATACACTTTTTCATTACAAATTAATACACTGGCATCCTAGTTTACAATTTGGCTCTCCATATACCTTACCCACACAGTGTGGTGGCCAGACCCTCCTCTCCCTTTAGCAGTTAGTCTTCTTGTTTTAAGTTAATTTAATGGCATTTTGATTATGGATTTCAGTCTCACAGACTGTGATTATGCTTGTGATTGAACTAGAGTCTGTGGATAAGTCAAGTTTTGCCCAAAGAATCTGACTTAGGTTTGTGGAAAATTCATTAAGGTAAGGTCGGCTATCTTTTTTTTTTTTTTTTTTTGGGACGGAGTCTCGCTCTGTCTCCCAGGCTGGAGTGCAGTGGCGGGATCTCGGCTCACTGCAAGCTCCGCCTCCCGGGTTCACGCCATTCTCCTGCCTCAGCCTCCCAAGTAGCTGGGACCACAGGCGCCCGCCACTACGCCCGGCTAATTTTTTGTATTTTTTAGTAGAGACGGGGTTTCACCATTTTTGCCGGGATGGTCTCGATCTCCTGACCTCGTGATCCGCCCGCCTCGGCCTCCCAAAGTGCTGGGATTACAGGCGTGAGCCACCGCGCCCGGCCAGGTCGGCTATCTTAAGAGACAGCGTTGGAAACTTCACCTCATATAATTTCAGCTACTAGAATTTGAGGCAGCAAGTCAAGTTTCTTTTCCTTTCAGTGAAACTTCTAAACCCGATACTCAGGCAAATATTTCATTTACACTATGCTAAGAAGTTGCTTCAGATAAAATCTCTGCTAAATCCTTTCTAATACAAGTGAAGGCCAATGTCTTCATTAATCTACTTTCTCATTAAAAATAACATTTTCAAGGCAGTTAACATTATTTTTAAGGGCTTGTTTTATATACCTTTATCCTACATATATAACCCCAATTATATTTTTCCTCCTCAAATTATTCATTCTTTTTTCTATTCCTCTGAATCATGCCTGCACATATTTTATATATCTTACTGGAATTGCTTTGTTTCTATATTAAGGTGAAACTAGAAACAGGATAACAGCAATGTTGAATTGATGGAAAAAAACAGTTCTTAAAAATATTGGTTACATATTTCCACAACATTCTCACCTCAGATCATTTTTTAAAATTTACATTTAGTCTATGTTACCTTAGATCTTTATCTCCCATATTTCACCGAAGCCAACCCCTCCCATTGAATTTGTATCTGCTCTTGGTAAATTACTCTGGTTTCAGCTGTATGACATTACACTTCATTTTTATTTTTTTCTGCCTCTGTCACTTTTAATCTTGGATTCACTTGTAGTTAATTTAGTGATGACAGTCAACTTTTAGTTACCTACAGCCTGATTATTCTCCCCACATATGTTATTTTCAAATTTAATAGCAAACACCTATAGCATATAAGTAATCTGATTTGTTTGCTTTTCAAATAAGCTCTGTGTATTGTTATTTTCAAGAAGTCTGCCCCACATAGTATAGAAGTTCATCAGAGCTAAATGTCTCACTTCAGGGACATTTTGAGTAGAAGAATTGTGCTTGAGTAGTTTCTTTTTGAAACCACGAGTGTGTGTTTGTGAGTGTGTGTGTGTTATTTATATATTTAAACCACACACACAGACACATCATGTTATGTTCCCACACAGAGACATAGGCACTGATACATCCTCCATTGGGTGACTTCAGATATACACAGGCATTCTCATTTCATTGTGCTTCACAGATCATATGCTTTATTATAAATTGAAGGCTTGTGGCAACCCTGCTTCGAGTAAATCTATTGGCATCGGGTTTTTTTGTTGTTGTTTGTTTTTTCAATGGCATGCTCTCACTTTGTGTCTCTCTGTCACACTCTGGTAATTCTTTCAAAATTTAAAATTTTTCATTATTATTACATCTGTTATGGTGATCTGTGATCAGTGATCTTTGACGTTACTATTGTCATTGTTTTGGAGTGCCATTAACTGTGCCCATAGAAGATGACAAACTTAATTGATAATTATGTGAGTTCTGACTGCTCTACTGACCAGCTGATCCCTCATCTTTTGCCTTCTCCTCAGGCCTTCTTATTCCTTGAGACAAAATAATATTGAAATTAGCCCTGTTCATAACCATAAGATGGCCTCTAAGTATTCGAGTGAAAGAAAGTCACACATCGCTCAATTTAAATCAAAAGCTAGACATCATTAAGCTTAGTGAGGAAGACATGTCGAAAGCCAAGATAGGCTGGAAGCTAACCCTCTTGCGCCAAACAGCTAGCAAAGTTGTGAATGCAAAGAAAAGATTCTCAAAGGCAATTGAAAGTGCTACTCCAGTGAACAGATGAAAGATAGAAAAGTGAAACAGCTTTATTGCTGATATGGAGAAAGTTTTAGTGGTCTGCATAGAACCAACCACAACATTCCCTTAAGCCATAGCCTAATCCAGAGCAAGGCCCTAACTCTCTTCAGTTATATGAAGGCTCAGAAAGGTGAGAAGTCTGCAGAAGAAAAATTTGAAGCTACCAGAGGTTGGTTCATGAGATTTAGGAAAGAAGCCTTCTTCGTAATGTGAGAGTGCAAAGTGAAACAGCAAATGCTGATATAGAAGCTACAGCAAGTTACCTAGAAGTTCCAGCTAAGGTAATTGATGAAGGTGGCTACACTAAACAACAGATTTTCAATCTAGATGAAACATCTTTCTATTGGAAGAGGATGCCATCTAGGACACTCACAGCTAAAGAGGAAAAGTGAACGCTTGGCTTCAAACCTTCAAAGGACAGCCCCTTATTAGGGGCTAATGCAGCAGGTTACTTGAAGATGAAGCCAGTGCTCATTTACTTTTGCAAAAATCCTAGGATCCTTAAGAGTTCTGTTAACTCTACACTGCCTGTGCTCTAGAAATGGAACAACAAAGCTTGGAGGACAGCACATCTGTTTACAACTTTAACAGGTTTACTGAATACTTTAAGCCCATTGAGAGTTACTGCCCAGAAAAAATAATAAATATTCCTTTCAAAATATTACTGCTCATTGACAATGCACCTGGTTAGGCAAGAGCCCTCATGGAGATGAACAAGATTAATGTTTTTTCATGCCTGCTAATACAACATGAATTCTATTGCCCATGGACAAAGGAGTAATTTTGACTTTCAAGTTATATTATTTAAAAAATAGGCTGGGCGCGGTGGCTCACGCCTGTAATCCCAGCACTTTGGGAGGCCAAGATGGGCGGATCACCTGAGGTCAGGAGTTCGAGACCAGCATGGCAAACACGATAAAACCCCATCTCTAATAAAAATACAAACATTAGCTAAGCGTGGTGGCATGTGTCTGTAATCCCAGCTACTCAGGAGGCTGAGGCAGGAGAATTGCTTGAATCCAGGAGGCGGAGGATGCAGTGAGCCAAGATTGTGCCACTGCACTCCAGCCTGGGTGACAGAGTGAGACTCTGCCTTGAAAAAAGAAAAAAGAAAAAGAAATATGGGCCAGGCATGGTAGCTCACGTCTGTAATCCCAGCACTTTGGGAGGCCCAGGCGGGTGGATCACCTGAGGTCAGAAGAGATCAGCCTGGCCAACATGGTGAAACCCTGTCTCTACTAAAAATACAAAAATTAGCCGGGCATGGTGACGGGCACCTGTAATCCCAGCTATTTGGGAGGCTGAGGCAGGAGAATTGCTTGATCCTGGGAGGTGGAGGTTGCAGCAGTGAGCCAAGATCACACCACTGCACTCCAGCCTGGGCGACAGAGTGAGACTCAGTCTCAAAAAAAAAAAAAAAAAAAAAAAGAAATATATTTTGCTAGGCTATAGCTGCCATGGATAGTGATTTCTTTGATGGATCTGAGTAAACTACATTGAAAACCTCCTGGTAAGGATTTGCCATCCTAGAAGCCATTAAAAACATTCATGGGAGGAAATCAACATATTAGCAATAAAAGGAGTTTGAAAGAAGTTGATTCCAAACATCATGAGTGAGTTTGAGAGGTTCAAAACTTCAGTGGAGCAAGTCACTGCGAATGTAATAGAAATAACAAAAGAATTAGCATTAGAAATGGAGTCTGAAGATGTAACTGAATTGCTGCAATCTCATGATAAAACTTTAATGGATGAGTTGTTTCTTATGGCTAAACAAAGAAAGTGGTTTATTCCCAGACTGGAAGGAAAAAGAATAAGAAATTGCTCAGGGATAGAAGGAGGAGACAAATCATTGCCATTGATTATCTTATACCTTCGTCATCAGGTTTAGAATATATTTTTGGATATTGCTAACACCTATATTTAAACAATTATTTTAGAACATTCCGATGCCAAAAAAGTATATTATAATTTTTTACTATATTAATCTACCTTTTGGCCATCTTTTATTAGTTTGGAGAACATTTGTCTAGTTATTCCAAAATTCAAGTCATTTGTGAAAATCTAAGAGACCTATGTAGCATAACCAGCATTTAGGAGGTACACACTTTTTCTCGGCTTTGGTTGATACCATTTCATTAAGATTTCTTATATTTACATTAGAACCTTATAAATTGTTCTCCCAGTTCTCTTTATGCAAATTTATAACTGTGATTAATGGAGCAGAAACCTGTTTGTCCTCGTTTACATATTAAGCTTCTTTTGGTATACTTCAACGTCTCATAATGTTGATCCTCTTAATTTTGCTGCCTTGATTACCTCACCATTTTGAGATTTTGAAATAAAAACAAAATAAAATATGTTTGGTTTCTAGGTAGGCTTAAATATCTGCCTTCTAAAGAGAAAGATTAATTGATTTTAACATTTGAGCCAACTAAAGTAACATGAGTTTATAAAATTTATGAAATACTAAATATAGCCAACAGGCTGGCTGAACAGACCTGCAGAGTGGACTGTTTGTTCTAGTTGCTGTTGCTGTCCACCAGGGCCTTGCCTTCCTGCGCAGGACCTCCCTCCCCTCTGCTTATACACCCAGTGCCCTCCTTTCTGCTCCTCAGCGTGGTTCCTCCCCTAGTGCCTCTTCCTCTAGTCTGCTCTCCCTCCTACTTACAAAATCGAACTGAGGGTGATTTCATATTTTTGTTTGTTTGTTTTTGACAGGAAGCAAGTCCCTACCCTAATGGAGTAAGTCTCAATATCTCTGATAGTTGAATTTCATGTCTGTATCAGTGTCCTGCTGTTCATCCCCCCAGGTGCTGCCCACCGGGCTCTGCCAAGCTGGTGATTTCTGATCTTTCTCGTTTTAACAGGATCTCGGAGAACTCTATCAAAAGCAAATTTATAAGGTAAGAATGAAACACTGGATGTGTCACTTGTGTTAGGCTTAGACATAAGAGTTTCTTCTGAAAAGATCAAAAAAAGAAGAAGAAGAAGAAAGAAAGAAAACATCAACATTTCGTTTCCATATCTTATGTCTGAAAAGAAGGGGATAACCTTTTACAGCATTTTTCTATTTAATCAATATACAATTCATATGTTCTATTTGAAATACCTTGATATTAAAAACATGAAAGTCAAATGCTCTGTAGAGAGAGGCATGTTTTTTTCGTTTCTTTCACATCAAATGTTTTTCAATATCATTTCAAACAAATTGTTATATAAACCATATTTTTTAATATACTTGTCAGGGCCAATAGTGGATATTGAAAAAACATAAAAAGGTAGGATTTTTCAGAAAGAAGTTTGTGCAGCTCTTATAAATGTCTCTTTTGGCCTACTACTTAACAAAACAACAAAAAAATAAAGTTTGGGTCTTTAACTATGCTGGAAGCCCATATTAATGTTTCAATATAAGAAATTAAAAATTCCCCAACTGATTAACTTATTAGGTTGCCTCATTCTCTTTCTTCCTTCCTTTCCCTCCCTTCCTTTCTTTCTCTTTCCTTTCTTCCCCCCTTCCTTCCTTTCTAACTTCTTGAGGTAGAAAATATATAGAGTCTAGAGGTACATAAACCTAGATTTTAATCTTGGTTTGGACTCTCAGCACGGTATTTACTGTTTTTCCTTGGGTGAATTAATTAACCCTTCTAAAGTTATGTTTCCTCAGATATAAAATAGAAATTCCGATATACAACTCACAGAGATTTGGGGCGGAATGAGCCAATATATATAAAATGCCCAGGTGAACCTTTAATAAATACTACTGCTATTTCCTCTCCCTTCATTTATATCATGATCTAATTTGGAGATAATTATTAAGCATTAGTTATCTAGATATATAGATGACAATATATTTTTAAGCCTGAATTTCAGGTCCAATACCAAGAGAGAAAAAATACCTGAGCATGTTTTTATAGAGATTTTAAGATACGGGATGAAGGTCATAATGGCTGTGGCATTCCTAGTCAGCTAACACTCTGCAACATTATTCATTGTCCTATAAAAACTATTTACCCAGCCACTGGTGTTGGTAAATTGTAAGCAAACAATAGGTAATAGAATCCAACTTCCATCAGTGTTACTAGTATTTCAGAGAAGTCTTATCATTCATTGGTGGGAAAATACTAGCTCGGGAAAGATACAGTCTCTGAAATAAAATTTATGGATTATTTTATTCATAGGTGCTTCTGTAAGGATGAGTTTCTTCAACCGTATTTCTCTGAGCATCTTTAACATTACCTTTATGATGCATGGTAGTGGAACTTGATTCAACTGTAAGTTAGAAAACATTGCAGAGGAATGTTGATGGCAAGATAGGGCTACATTGCAGCTTTCCGAAGGTTGTAGAAAGAGGATGTTTGTATTTGGCTCAATGGAGGTGCTTCCCTTTAGATAAGAGAATGAGGAGTTAATGGACACATGCCATATTCATTAAAATGTGGAATGAAGCCATCTTTTCTGAGCCAACTTTTCTGAAACAACACAGAGAAAAGGAGTCTTTGTCTTTTGACTTATCTCCCTGAGTTGATCTACTTGATTCTCTCAAATTGCCATTGTTCTAACTTTGTTTGGCAATTTGACACTCAACCAAACTGTATCTTCATTAGAAATGAAAAGATAGGACAATGGAAGATCCCTCCATACCTGTAATAGGTGGATCTCACCTGACTATGCTGACCTAGAGAGGCATATGTGATACAAATGAGGGAATAAATCATTGCTATTCTAGAAATAGATTTATCAGTAGTTCATATTAAAAGTCATCTTTGTTGACTGTGATGGTCGGTTTTATCTGTCAACTTAGCTACGGGGTCCAGTTATTCAAAAAAACACTCTTCCAGGTGTTGCTGCATAGGCATTTTGTAAATGTAATTACAGTTTAAGTAAAAGAGCATATTCTAGATAATCTGGATGGGCCTGATTCAATCAGTTGAAAGGCCTTAAGAATAGAGCTGAGACTTCCTTGAAGAAGAACTACCTCCTGTGGACATCAGCTTCAGTTTGTGTCTGGCAGTTCCAGCCTTTCCTTCCTGATAGTGTGCCCCAGCTTCCGACTTGCCTTGCCAGGCCCCGCTGTTGCATAAGCCAATTCCTTGCAATAAATCTCTAAATATATCTTCTACTTGTTCTGTTTCTCCGGTTGAACCTGAACTGATATCCCAGCTAATAGTACTCTGAGACCCTATTTTCTCCCATTCCTAAGCCTTCCTCATCTTTCCTCCAAATATAACCTCTTCAAACAGGGGAGGCAGAATTACCTAATGCAAAATACACATATCAAAATGTTTGGAAGTCATTATGAATTCTAAATTTATTCAGTCTTTTATCCATGATGGACATACTAGTTAAGATTTTTTCAGTATTTATAAGTCTTATACAAAATGATTTTATTGTCATCATAAAAAAAATTTCACTCTATATTTTAAGGCAAATGCTATTTAAAAGTCCAGTAAACAACTCAGGGGTTGGGGCACCAACCCCCTGTGCAGTAAAAATTGACCTACATCTTTGACTCCCCACAAACTTAACTACCAATAGCCTACTGTTGACTAGAAACCTTACAGATAACATAAACAGCCAATTAACACACATTTTATATGTTATATATATTATATTCTGTATCCTTACAATAAAGTAAGCTAGAGAAAAGAAAATGTTATTAAGAAAATTAAAAGGAAGAGAACATACGTTTACTAATCATGAAGCATAAGTGGGTCATTATAAAAGTCTTCATCCTCATATCTTCATGTTGAGTAGGCTGAGGAGGAGGAGGAAGAGGAGGGGTTGGTCTTGCTGTCTCAGAGGTGGTAGAGACAGAAGAAATCCACATGTAAGCAGACCCTCACAGTTTAAACTCATGTTGTTGAAGGGTCAACTGTATTATTTTTACCCTCATTGTATTCTCATAGCACCCAGCTAAATATTTTATACTCAATAAATGTTTGCAGAATGAATAACTGAGCAATATCTTAGTAATACTTTAGGTATTTCCAAGAGAAGTTTATTGTAAAACTCTGATGCTTTTTTTCAGTATCTTGTTTAGGGGAGGTATTTTCAAAAATAATTTACGATTAGGTTTATCAGGTGATGAATTAAGTTTATCTTCATTTTACGATGTAATTAAAGTGGATAATTTTAAGGAAAATATATGAACTGGAAAAAATTACGATTTAATGTCAGTAGAAAAGACTATCAGATTAACTTCATTCCAGTTTTGTTTCTGTGAAAGTATGTACAGATGGAAGCAAAAACTAGAGAGTAATATTCATAAAGATAAATAATAAAATTGTCAGTACTTTTTAAAAATTTTCTCCTTAAATTTTGTTACATTATTTTATCCTTCACAAAGTTTAAAGTACATTTTTTTTTATCTATCCAATCTTTTTAGAAGACTTTTTATGATTATCCCTTTTTTTATTCAGAATGGCAGAGTAAGTAGTATGGAATTTTGAAAAATAGTCCAAAAGTAGTTTTTTAATTTTTTGAATTGGATAATAGCCGTTTCTTCATTTTTACAATCTTTTATAATATAATAAACTAAAATGCAAATTTTAAAAACTTGGCTTTATGGTCTTTTAATATATTGAAGTTTAGTTTAAATGCAACTCTATAAACTCATACTTCTCATAAATTAGGACAAATCCGTTCATTAAGATGTGATCATCTTCAAAGAAAATTCAGCTTTGGTGTAATTTCTAAGTTGCTCTCATTTTAATATATAATCTTTGTTTAAAAAAGATTAACAGCAGTGTGGTATCCCGTCTGAAAACTTAAGAAAACATATAGCCAGATAACTACAAGGAGAAATAAACATGAAACCCATAATTCTCATGCAGTCTTTGCATTTTCACTTTGCTTTATGATTATTCTATACTAGAATAAGTATTTATTTGAACATGGCTTTTCAGAATCAAAAGGTTAGAGTCTACCTTAAACAGAAAGACATGAGAAGGCAGATTTTCAAGCTCTACAGAGTGACTGGATAACCTCACAGAGTTTCCATTTCATCCTTATATTTGTTATTTTAAAGACTAAGCTACATACAAAATCAAAGTCTCACCTCAAAGCTCAAGTCTGCCACTTGAAAGGCACTAGCAGTACCCTTTTAGTACAACTCGAGCTACCCTTAATAAAATTTACCTTAAGATTAATTTATTAATCAGAAATACTGGAACTGACCAAAGGTCACTTGGTAAATAGCATTTCTAATCATGCACACAAAAAAGAAAATGACAAGAGGGAAAACGTTCTTTCATAGTGGTTGAAGAGATGAGGGTGGGTACAATTCCTGCCGGGATTAGTTCTATACTCACTTTGGTGGCCAAGCATTGACTTCTCCATGTTCACAGTTTCTTCAGTGTGTCAGAAAGGTTTTTAATAGGATAGATATACATTTGAAACTCAGTTTTTCCACTTCCAGCAATGATGGCTGATATGGTTTGGCTGTGTCCACACCCAAATCTCATCTTGAACTGTAGCTCCCACAATTCCCACGTGTTGTGGGAGGGACCTGGTGGGAGGTAATTGAATCACGGGGGCAGGTCTTTCCTGTGCTACTCTCATGATAGTGAATAAGTCTCACAAGATCTGATGGTTTTATAAAGGCGAGTTTCTCTGAGCAAGCTCTCTTGTCTGCCGCCATGTGAGACATGTCTTTCACTTTCCATCATGATTGTGAGGCCTCCTCAGCCATGTGGAACTGTGAGTCCATTAAAACTCTTTCTTTTGTAAATTGCCCAGTCTCAGGTATGTCTTTATCAGCAGCGTGAAAATGAACTAATATGGTAGCCTTCAGTAAGTTTATTCCTCTGAGTCCTATTTTGCAAAACAGAGATAATAAAATCTACTTTGCGTAACTTTGAGAGTTAAATGAGATAAATGTCTAGAATGGTATTGTTCAAGACATTTAATGAGAACTTCTGCCCTTGTCTTTAGCTCCCTTCTTGAAACAGGTGTCCTTGTTCTTTACCAAAGCAAATTCTACACTCTTCTTTCTCTCCTGGGACCTATTATTCCTTTTCTGTCTTACATCTTTAATCTGAACCTCTCCAATGTCTCCTTCTCAGTTTATAAATTTACTTACAACTCCTCATCCCTAAAAATATCAAACATTTTTAAACCCCTACTCTTGCTTTGTCATCTGATTAAGCAGCTTTTCTACATGTAGCCATCCTCGTACCATCAACCTTTTGAAAACTTACCCCTGCTCTTTCCTTTCCCCATGCAGTCTTCAGTGGCTCAATCCACCAAACTCCACTGACATGAAACTCCAGCAGCCTCCCAACAGATAATGACAGGGGATGGCTTCCTCTCTAGGATGTCTCACCATTCACCATACCTCAATTTTCTTGCTTTTGCTTATTTTTTTACTTGCTTGCCTGTTTATTGTTAAATACCCATCTCCCTTAGCTTCCCAATTATAGGACTTTCCTAATCTGATTCTTTCTTCCTACTGTTTAATAACTTTTCAGTTCCTTTAGCTAGCTGCATCCTCTTCTTTAGTCCCCTTTTAAAATTAGTGTTTTTCTAATTTATTCACTATCTAGGTAGATGTCTAGAAGCTGGGCATGATGGAAGATACTAAGATATGGCCCCTGTCCTCAAAGACCTTGTGTTATTGTAAGAAAGAGCCCATTAAAACACCAGAAAACAATGAAGAGCAAGAAAAGCCATGAATAGCCCATAATCAACTGCTAAGTGATAGAGGTTAGGCCCTAAGTGAAACAGAAATTCAGAAAAAATGGTGATCACCGTGGGTAAGAATTGTAGAAAGTTTCATAAGGAAGCAAATAATTGTAGTACCAGTATTTTTATTTTTTATTTTATTTTTTTGCTTACCAGTTAATCTGTAAAAGAAGGGTGTCCTCTTACATTGAAATTGGCCTTTGAGTGGAGTCTCTCTTTATCTCTGACCCTCGTTAAAAAAAAAAAAGTGAACTGGCCGGGCGCGGTGGCTCACGCCTGTAATCCTAACACTTTGGGAGGCCAAGGCGGGCAGATTGCCTGAGCTCAGGAGTTCTAGACCAGTCTGGGCAACATGGTGAAACCCTGTCTCTACTAAAATACAAAAAAAAAAGAAAAAAAATTAGCTGGGCGTGGCAGCATGCGCCTGTAGTCCCAGCTACTCAGGAGGCTGAGGCAGGAGAATCACGAATCACTTGAACCCAGGAGGCTGAGGTTGCAGTGAGCCTAGATCATGCCACTGCACTCCAGCCTGGTGACAGAGTGAGATTCCGTCTCAAAAAAAAAAAAAAAGTGAACATAATAACATTCCATCCACAAACAAATAAACAAAATTAGTATTTTTCTTTTCTTCTGCGTTCTTTTCTTTCTCCTCCCATTACCTCTCTGAGTCATCTTAAGAAGGCATTACAACTATTCAATAAGTCCACGTGATCTTTGCTCCTGAGTACATGGGAAGATTGTACTTTGTCCTCTTCTAAAGTTAGGCCCAGCAAAACATGTGACTTGCTTTGGTCCATAAAATGTACACACACACAACGTGTTACTTCCTTGCAGGAGTATTTAATTGTCTGCGCTTAGGTTTGCAGCCTGCTCCTCCCTTGCTTCAGACATCATGCAGGTGCCATGAAACCAAGGCAGCCCAGGAAGCTGAAGCAATACAGGAGGCTTTGCATGAGGAAAAAAAAAATTGGTACATAATTGAGATAGGTCAGTCTTGACTATATGTTTTCTGATCTTTCAATATAAATACAAGAATGGAAAACATTAGGATTCTGATGATACTCTTAGTTCTTCCATTTTATTTTAGTTGTAGAGTATGTTTAAGAAAATTTCAAGGAAGAAAAAATTTAATTCATTAATCTTTTGATGTCAGTTAAAAGGATTTTACACTATGCCATCAGCCATCACAGATCACATAAAAACCTGTATTCCTAGTGCCATCACTTTGCATGTTAAAGCTAAGTGACCACCAATTCTCCAGTTTTTTCTTAATAAACAAGGTAAGCCTTAGAACTGTTGGCCAGTTTTTCAAGTCAGAAACTTGAGTCACCCTTGAATTTTCTTCCTCCTGTATATATAAGTAATCACAACTCCTGTTGATTCCAGCATCTAAACTTAAAAACAATAACAGCAACAACAACAACAACAAACTTTCTCTCAAGTCCCAGCTGGCCTCCCAGACATGCAGTCCATGTGCACTCTGGTGCGGACAGACTCTTCCCACCACCTCTGCTTCCTCCACTCCAGTATCCATGGAACAGCCAGAACTTCCCTACTTGAAATCATTCTGTTTGCCATTCAAATAAAATCCTCAACATTAGGTAGAGACTCTGAATTAATTTCCGGTTTCCATTTTTCTGCCTCTCCCACCTTCAAGTTCACTACTCCAGCCATTCTGACGCCTCTCACTTCCTTCAAATTAGTGTCTCTTGATCTCCATCTCTGAATCATTGAATATGCTGACATCGCTAACCCAGAATCCTTCTCTCATTTTTTTCTTAGTTAACTCATATGAATCTTTCCCATATCAGCTTATATGTCACACTTCCTGATACACAGGCAAAACTAAAAAATATTTGTTGACTTATTCTCCTACTCATTATTCCAGTTGAGGTTCTCATCAACTCCTATCCATATTGTTGAAATAGTTGCTTACTCTTCTCCCTGCAATCCCTCTGTCCCCTTCAATTACAGTGCCCATCATGCAGATGCTAGTTGTCTGAGTATGAAACATTACTCGATACAATTTTCTAATTTTACCCTTTAGTTATTACTATCCTCGTTGCTTGTCTCATTTAATTATATCACCCAATTTTAATACAATGAGTGGGTATAATAATTAAGTAAATAATCTTCTGATTAATACACTGATTAGTCACAATAAATTTTATTTACTGAAAAATCTTTTATTGGAATTGATTTATCCATGTCGTCTTAAGAGTTAAATGCTGCAGCTTCTTATAATGCACAGCATAACTTGAAATTCATTTGCTTGATAGCCGCACCAAAGTTTAGAATTTCTTGCTAAAAATAGATTATATGTTACAATGCCAGAGTCATGTTTTCTTGTCTTTTCAAAGCCACTAAATCACAGTTTAGTATCATAAAGTATGCTGAATTTTACACAGCTTACTTTATAGGCAAAAATTGTAAGCATAATTCAATTTCAATAGATACAAAATCTAATAGTAAACTATCCAAAAATATATATAATTTATATTGCTTCTTTCAACAAAAGAAGCAGTAAAAAGTATCATTCATGAAAACTAGCCAACACTGAAAAATTAAAAGAGGAAAAACACTGGAAACCAACAAAACAGGGCTAAATATAGCCAGAAAAATAGGGAAGATAACTTTTTATCTCTACAATTAAATAAATATATATGTAAGGAATCAATACTTCAGCAAAAAAATTCTTAACTAGAAAGTGTAATATGATTTGTAAAATAAATATATGACTACAATGTATGTAAGATACACAAATAAACATTTTAATGGCAGCATAATAGTTCTTGTCCAAATACAGAGAAACATTTTGGTTATCTAAAAGTATTAGTATTGTTGACTAAGACTACTCAAGTAGGCTCTAAGGGAACTCCCTCAGTGCTTGATTTATCTAATTCAAGATTTGTTTTGTTTTGTTTGTTTGTTTTGCGACAGAGTCTCGCTCTATCGCCCAGGTTGGAGTGCAGTGGCATGATACCAGCTCACTGCAACCTCTGCCTCCCGAGTTCAAGTGATTTTCCTGTGTCAGCCTCTCAAGTAGCTGGGATTACAGGTGCATGCCACCACACCCAGCTAATTTTCTGTATTTTTAGTAGAGACGGGTTTTCACCATGTTGGCCAGGCTGGTCTTGAACTCCTGACTTCAAGTGATCCACCTGCCTTGGCCTCCCAAAGTGCTGGGATTACAGGCCTGAACCACCCCACCCGGCCAAATTCAAGTTCTTATGGTACTTATTTGAGAAGTAGATTTCACTGTTCACTAATTTAGCCCTTCATAAGTTAAGGTAATATTACATTTACAAATCCGGGGATATAAATATAAATCATGTAGACATCCATTTGGATGACCATTAATGATTTTTCTCTGTTTGGGTAGAACTAATTTGGTGATTCCCAAATTGGTATGCCTCATTCTAAGCAGGCTTTTCTACGTAAAATAAAATAACTTTTTATTTTTCCATTTCTGTGTATTTTGTAAAGCTGAGGACAACTGAAGTAACAGTTACATTGCGAGAATGGACATGACCATAAATACTGGCAAAATCATTATTTTTAATTTGTTTCCATTTTTAAGTTTTGTAGTAATAAAAGAGAGCACATTACAAGGCATGTATTACTATCCTTGTAAAAATTGGAAGATACTAATAATGGGTAATTTTACATTTACTAGCTAATGGTATGGTATAAAAGAATATTTATCAAAATAAAAATGAGGTCCATATGAATATCAACTCTTTATCATAAGTATCATTAGAAACTATAGAGCCCCAAATGAACTCTTGAGCGTAAAGCTCTTAAAATAAAAAATAACATTTTAAGCGCAAAGCTATTACAAACTCATTTGATATTCATTTTAATTGCAATCACTATAATGAATATACTTTGTATTTGAACAGATGTCACAAGTACTACTACAGAAGTTCTAATATAATTTCAGTCTTAGTTAAGAATAAGTAAATGGATATTTAAAATTGAATGTTACCATGAAGGAGGAAAAAAAAATCAATTACAGTAAACATTAGCTTCTTTAAAACACAAATTAAAGATTTTTATTAAATTGTGTTCTTTCTTGTTTTGACATATGCAAAATATAACAATACAAGGAACTTGCTGTCTCAACCACTCCTTTTCCTTGCGTCAGCTATTCTGCAGATTAGTAGGCCTGGAAAATGAAAATTGGGAGTGTAAAAAATGACTCAGAAGGGTAAGCTGAAATTCACTTTACGATATTTAGAGACTGGTATATCAGAAGGATTTAAAATTTTTATTATGCCAATTTATTTTAGCTGAAGGAGGTAACTATGTATGCCATTTTATTTCAATGGGTCAGACAAGCCCTAATATTCCCTTTAATCTTCTCCCACATGAAGGACTAACACCTTAAATTCCAACATGAGAAACCTTCATGCCATAAATTAAAGACAGTGTTTCTCAATGTGTGATTCACAGAATTACCCATGGGTGTTTGTTAAAAGCAAATATTCTGAGGCCCCAACCAAGCTCTATCAAAGCCTGGGAGTAAGGCCATTCAATCCACATTTTGACAAGCAACCTAAAAATTTTGATGCACACTCCTGCTTAAACCACTGCCCCAAGGTTGGGTGAGGTAACACTTAAAGCTATATATTATTCATTTCATTTGAATCAGCAAACATTTGTTAAGTACAAATCCTATGTGAACCAAAGATTTGATATATATATAGAATGTCCAAACAGGCAAGAAGCTTATGAGAAACTGATTTTTGAAGTATTATTTATTATGTACAATAATAATCTACAAATGATGGGAAACCCAGTGTCTAGATGTCTAGAAATACAAAGAAAGTGATATATTTACTGTTCAGATTAAAAGTTTACTCTTGATTTCAATTTAGCAGTTTTTCTCGTGAAAGGGGTATCTAGAGGTTAAAGAAAAATGTCTTCATCTCATTATTAGGAAATGCAACTAACAGAGTGCTTAATAACAAGTTTATCCCATTTTTCCTGATGTTTTGTACATTTTATGTTTTGTAAAGGAGAGTGGTTATGTGTGTGAGGCTTCACGGTGGCCGAGGGGAAGAGACAAGGAATGTCAATGAGGGGGAAAGAAAGATGCTGAACTGCAAGACCAGGAGCACTAAAGGTGAACTATTTTCCCACCTCTAGTCTAATTCTCCTGGTACCTCAACCGTAAGTTGAACATATTTGGAAGCCATACTGTGTTTTTTAATTACCAGAGCAAAATTCAAAAACTGAAAGCTGACTTTGGAGTTTAATACAAGAAAGAAAGAAAATAAAGAACATAAAGCTGAGAGTACCAAGGTTCTTTTGCTGGTCAGGAATTTGTCCCCACCTCCACCCCTACCCCAGGACTGAAGACTAATTAACTGGAATCTGTGAAAAGGGCTTCAATAAGGAGCAGCCGCTCATGAAACAGTGAAGACAAGCTGATGAGGTTCATTAGTGGCTCTTATTGCCCTTGGTCTTCTACATACAGTCTTTGACTTTTCCTGGCACTGGAAACAGAATCCAGTTAAAACACACACACACACACACACGCACACACACACACCTATGATAAGTGAAAGTGAACAGAAAAAAGAGTTGTGCTGGTTCTCAGCATGGTCTCTAGAGCAGGAATATCAGCATCACTTGGAACCCCATTGTATTCATCTGCTCAGGCTTCCATAACAAAATACCATAGATTGAGTGGCTTCAATGACAGAAATTTATTTTCTCACAGTTCTGGAGGCTGGGAAGTGAAAGATCAAGGTTTTGGCTGATTCTGTTTCTGGTGAGGGCTCTCTTCCTGGCTTACAGGTGGCTGCCTTTTTGCTATGCCCTCACATGACAGAGCTCTGTTTCTTCTCCTGAGGCCACCAATCCTATTGGACTAGGACCCCACCATTATGATCTACCTCATTTAATCTTAATTACTTACTGAAAGCCAAATCTCCAAATATAGTCACATTGGGTGTTAGGGGTTTAACACAGGAATTTGGGGGAACATAATTCAGTCCATAGCACTCATTATAAATGCAAATTCTCAAGCACCACCTGAGACCTACTGAATCAGAAACTCAGGAAATGGAGCCCAGCAAAGCAGGTTTTATTATCTCACCAGGTATTGTAATGCCCACTAAAGTCTGAGAAGTACTGGCCCTCTGGATGAAGTCCCAACTCCACAGCACAGCATTTACTTTCCTTCCCAGTTTACTCCCACCCTCCTTTCCAACCTTATTTCTTAGAGGGTACTCTGTCTATAATTCTAGCACAAGGCTTTGCACATAGAAAGCACTCACATTTTCACAATATTGTGTACTATCGTTATAGAAGTTATTAAGAAATTATTAAGAAATTATTTTAGACACATAGAGGGGAAAAGGGGTCTTTTAAAGCAGCTCCAAAATGTTTCTTGTCTAGCAGGAAAGCCCCCGCTCTTAGAGCCAGGCCGGCAAGCTTTGATGTGCAAATACCGGCCATTAGAAACTGGGTCCACCCAAACATGGCGATTCCTGCCCTGTTCTTCCTTGCCCTCACATGTGCCTGGCAACATGGCCGCCCCCACATATCTCCATGTGGGTAGAGCATCATGGCGCCCTGCCTTTGCATATTAAAAGGCTAGGGTGGGAGGGCCAGTTTTCCCCCTGGGCTACGTGAATAACGTGCCCGGTCAAACCAATTCCCTGAGCCCTATGCAAGTCAGGTACCACCTCCTCCAGCCTCCTCATATAAGCAGCCACTTTACCACCACACACAGGGTTTTCTCTCATTGGAATCCCTTCCTCTCTCTGTCTCTGTATGAGGGAGCTGTTTTTTTCCTCCTTCCTTCTTTCTTGCCTGTTAAACTCTCCTCTCCTTAAAACCACTCCACGTATGTCCATGTCGTTTTATCCAGTTCTGCGTGAGATTAAGAACCTTGGTGTTCCTTCAGTCATCGGAGCCTTATCACTGTTTGCTTATAACTCTTCTCTGTAAACTGCTCCCTACAACATTGCTTTCAATTCATTGCTGTTTTGGGGCATCCAACAGCCCATTGGTCTCTGACATAGCACAAAGTTGCTTAACATGATTTTAAAAAATCAATATACTACTTGCTACTTATCATGTCCTTAAGTGTATCAAGTCTTATAAGTACCTAGTATATTACCTTATGAAATTCTCCCAATCACCCTGAAGTAGGCATTATAATTTCTCCTTGACAGAAAAAGTCGCTGGAAACTGAGGCTTAATATCAAAAGGTCTATTGTATAACATGGTGACTACGGTTAATAGCAATGTATTTATTATATCTCGAAAACTGCTAAGCATGGATTTTAAGTATTTGCTTCACAAAAAATAATAAATGTATGAGGCAAGGCATATGTTAGTT